>NC_000001.11:235426545-235578060 GCF_000001405.40 Homo sapiens | reverse complement strand
GAAAGAAAAAAAAAGAAAAGGTGCATCTTGGTATCAGCCAGACTATACGAATGTGGAAAGAAAGGGGAGCTGTCAAGGACACTCCCGATGACCTCGTCAAGGACCTTGAGGAGGGAAGAGAGAGGAAGTCACCAGGGAAAGGCAATGGCCTTTCTGGGATGGGTACGAGGTTACTGCCAGAGAGGAGGAAGGAAAGAGGGAGGCTGGATAGGAAATGACAGAGGGCAGCCCTGGGGAAGGAGGAGAGGAGCAGTTTTTAGAATCCACTGAACTCGCACACACCATGTCAGAAACACCAGGGCCAGATGACAACACTGAGATGGGCCGGGCGCAGTGGCTCAAGCCTGTAATCCCAGCACTTTGGGAGGCCAGGGCGGGTGGATCACGAGTTCAGGAGTTTGAGACCAGCCTGACCAACATAGTGAAACCCCATCTGTACTAAAAATAGAAAACTTAGCCGGGCGTGGTGGCACGTGCCTGTAGCCGCAGCTACTTGGGAGGCTGAGGCAGGAGAATCACTCGAACCCAGGAGGCGGAGGTTGCAGTGAGCTGAGATTGCACCATTGCACTCCAGCCTGGGTGACAGAGCAAGACTCTACCTAAAAAGAAAAAAAAAGAAAACACTGAGATGGATTTTCCAAGGAAGAGGAAAAGGCCAGGCCCATACTGACTGCATAGTGAGAATGCCTAGCAGGTGAATGTGCACACGACGATAGGGCAGGCTGCATGGGAACCAGCTGGAGGGTCCATGGTAGGAATCGTGGCAACTCCCAGGCCCACAGAGCTGGCTTCCAGGTGAGAGCACGGCAGATGGGAACCCAAAGAGGACATCCCAGGCGAGGGCAGGTACCAGCAGGAAACCAAAAGGGAGCCCCCGGGATGGCATGGTATGTAGCCAACCATAGGGCCCACCACCAGGCTCTGTAGCTTATTGTGCTCAGGAGAGTTTCTAAGGAGGAAGGAAGGAAAAGAAGGCATTTGCCGCCCAGGAAAATAAGGGGACATCTGTCACTGGGAAGAGAAAGGAAAATATAACTGCATTAAGCAGTTCTGGGGTTGCAGAAGTAAGAAAGAGTAATAGTGCCAATTCAGAGAGCTTTGCACGATTCATGGAGGAAAAACGTAGCTGAAATATTCATTATTGTCTTGAAGTTCTGCTTGTCCCCATTTGCACAAAAGCACAAGTGCAAATATAGACTTCAGTAGGGGATATAGATTGAGGCATTACACCACAAAGCCCACAGCAAGATCTTAAACCCACACACAGTGTGGTTCAGAGACCTCCTTCCTACCTCCATTCATTTAATATTTATCGAGAATCCCCTGCTACTTGGCCCTTCTCCCAAATTACCACCCCCACTCCATGTGACTCTTCATCTTGCCTAGAAGCACATCAAAGCATTTCCCAACAAAGATGTGTGTTCTTTGCAAACTCTTATCAGCAGCTAAAAACAAGTAATGTCCTCCAGGTTGTCGCAGGCATGAGGAGGATTCACCATAGAACCTGTATAGCCTCACAAAAAGCACAAAGCTTGGAAAATAATACCCAGGTTTCTAAAAAAGAAATAAAGAGCACATGAAAGATGAATTTTGGAAACTATATGGGTTCTAAGGGAAAGAATACCATCATAGCCTTATTCTTTTTCTCACCCATCAGAAGTTCAAACAATCTAAAACTCTATTAGAAAAGTACATATATGGTTGGGCGCGGTGGCTCACGCCTATAATCCCAGCACTTTAGGAGGCAGAGGCAGGCAGATCTCAAGGTCAGGAGATCGAGACCAGCCTGGCCAACATGGTGAAACCCCTCCCTACTAAAATACAAAAAAAAAATTAGCCCGGCATGGTGGCACGCGCCTGTAGTCCCAGCTACTTGGGAGGCTGAGGCAAGGGAATCGCTTGAATCCGGGACGCGGAGGTTTCAGTGAGCCCAGATCACGCCACTGCACTCCAGCCTGGCAACAGAGTGAGACTCTGTCTCAAAAAAAAAAAAAAAAAAAGTACATATATGACATTGATCATTAAATAGAGAAAATCCGACAAGCGGTTATGGCAGGTCTGAGCTGAGCAGAGTGTAAGAGGCCTCACTGGAGAAAACAGTGTCTGAAGCCAGCCTGCACAGCCACAATGCAGAGTTCAGCCACTGAGAAGGCGTTCTCCCAAGGGTGAAGTGCAGCGCTCCCAGGCAGAGTCAGGACACAGGCTCTCAGGCGGGTTCCACGCTGCCTTCCACGTGCCATCCCTCAGGGTGCCCTGATTCTCCTGCCCCACAGGAAAGGGAAATTGCTGACATTGGGTCAATCCTATGTCTGTGGCTCATGAGGCTCTGGGGTGGACAGACACCCTTGAGCAAGCCCAACTCTCAGCCAGGGACTAGAAGCAACTGATGGAATGGCCAAGGAAAACTGGCCAAGGAACATTCTGCCCAGTCTCATTTGTCCTGGGAGATAATTTCAACATCCGTGGGGTGGGTGTGCTCACAATTCCTACAAGGGCTGCCCTTAGGCTGAGATTAATTTTGTGAGCACAGGCTTTATTTGCTGAGTATTGACAGATCAATATATTGTTGGGCCTGCGTTCTATAGACTACTGAAAACATGAGTGCAGGAAGAGAGGAATTTCAGGTGATGGATGCACTAAAAGTTGAAGCCCAAGAAACGCAGGAGAACTGGCTACACATGGCCCTTGACTTACAATGGGGCTACCTCTCAATAAACCTATTATAAATTGAAAGTTCAACTTACGACATTTTCAACTTACGATGGGTTTATGCGGATGTGACCCCATGGGAAGTGGAGGAGCATACTGAATGCGTATTGCTTTCTGCCACTGTAAATTCGAAAAAATCATTCAGCCAGACCATCGTACGTCAGGGACCCTCTGTATTTAGAGTGCGATAGTGCAGAAAGATACTGACATCAAAGAAAAGAGATTGTGGCGAGGCGCAGTGGCTCATGCCTGTAACTCCACCACTTTGGGAGTCCGAGGTGGGTGGATCATTCGAGGTCAGGAGTTCGAGACTAGCCTGGCCAACGTGGTGAAATCCCATCTCTACTAAAAATACAAAAATTAGCTGGGTGTGGTGGTGTGTGCCTGTAATCCCAGCTACTCGGGAGGCTGAGGCAGGAGAATCACTGGAACCCAGGAGGTGGAGGTTGCAGTGAGCTGAGATTGCGCCACTGCATTCCAACCTGGGCAACAGCGGGAGACTCCATCTCAAAAAAGAAAAGAAAGAAAGGATTGTGTCGTGACAGATACTGGCAGTTATTAACAATCTTCCTTCATAAAAACTAAGAAAAATGTAGAGAAAACAGAAAAAGAGAAAGAGCTATTTTTTAAAAGGGTATAATTTGGTGCTTAAAAGAAAGGAGAACAAATAATCAAAAAAATAGGAAATGCAAGGACACAAAAGTTGAATTTACAAGTCTTTGAGATATTTCTCGTATATACTCTCTTTATTCCGTTGATAATTTATTTAAAACCATAAATAAATGAGAGTGGCTCGAACACATACCTAAGCATGGAGCTTACTTAAAGCGCTTCCAACAAAGAAGCAGAACATCTGGTGGGTTGAAGTGAGAATGTGAAAAAGTCATATCCTTTTCAGGGGCCTTTAATGCTTGTTTTGAAAATGATACTACTTCTCTGTTCATTAAAATGGTACTTGCTTTTTTGTTGTTGCTGTTTTTTGAGATGGAGTCTCTCTCTGTTGCCCAGGCTGGAGTGCAGTGGCGTGACCTTGGCTCACTGCAATCTCTGCCTCCTGGGTTCAAGCGATTCTCCTGCCTCAGCCTCCCGAGTAGCTGGAATTACAAGCCTGTGCCACCATGCCTGGACAATTTTTGTATTTCTAGTAGAGACGGGGTTTCACCATGTTGTCCAGGCTAGGCTTGAACTCCTGACCTCAAGTTATCCTCCCATCTTGGCCTCTCAAAGTGCTGAGATTAGGTACTTGTTTATTTTTAAAATTTTTGAAAAATGCTGACAAGTATAAAGAGGATAATTGGAATGGTCTATAACCACTACCTTTTGATGTTTTTCCATCTATATTTGTTTTACATTTATTATAAAACTGGGGCCATAATGTACACTTATTGCTTTTTTATAACCTGATATATCACTGAACAGTATATTGTGATCATATAACAAGGTCAGGAAATATTCTCCTAAAATGTCATTTTTAATATCTATTTTCCCCCGATGTACAATAATTAACCAGTCTCCTATCCTTAGACATTTCAGTTATTTCCAATTGTGAGTCTTTTTTTATTTTTCCTTTTTTTTGAGATGGAATCTCACTCTGTCACCCAGGCTGGAGTGCAGTGGCACGATCTCGGCTCACTGCAACCTCCGCCTCTCGGGTTCAAGTGATTCTCCTGCCTCGGCCTCCTGAGTAGCTGGGACTACAGGCGCCCGCCACCACACCCGGCTAATTTTTTGTATTTTTAGTAGAGACGGGGTTTCACTGTGTTACCCAGGATGGTCTCGATCTCCTGACTTCGTGATCCGCCCACCTCGGCCTCCCAAAGTGTTGGGATTACAGGTGTGAGCTACCGCACCGGGCCGTGAGTCCTATTTTTTTTTTTATCATACTTTAAGTTCTAGGGTACATGTACACAACATGCAGGTTTGTTACATATGTATACGTGTGCCATATTTGGTGTGCTGCACCCATTAACTCGTCATTTACATTAGGCATTTCTCCTAATGCTATCCCTCCCCCCTCCCCCCACCCCTTGACAGGCCCCGGTGTGTGATGTTCCCTATCCTGTGCCCAAGCGATATTGTTCAATTCCCACCTATGAGTGAGAACATGCGGCGTTTGGTTTTCTGTCCTTGCGATAGTTTGCTCAGAATGATGGTTTCCAGCTTCATCCATGTCCCTACAAAGGACATGAACTCATCCTTTTTTATGGCTGCATAGTATTCCATGGTGTATATGTGCCACATTTTCTTAATCCAGTCTATCATTGATGGACATTTGGGTTGGTTCCAAGTCTTTGCTATTGTGAATAGTGCCACAATAAACATACATGTGCATGTGTTGTGAGTCCTACTTTTAAGGAAGCACTGCAGCAAGCATACTGGTAGATAAAATTTTCATGTCTGATTATTTCTTTAAGATAAATTCCTAAGGACTGAAAATCTCTTGGCCAAAAGAGAGATATATACTGTCAGGCACTACATAAAAACTGTTTTAGTCAGCGACAGACTGCATATATGACGGTGGTCCCATAAGATTCTAGTAGTGTATATTTTTTGACCCGGCATGGTGGCTCACGCCTGTAATCCCAGCACTTTGGGAGGCCGAGGTGGGTAGATCACTTGAGGTCAGGAGTTCAAGACCAGCCTGGGAAACATGGCGAAACCCTGTCTCTACTAAACGTACAAAAATTAGCTGGGCATGGTGGCGCACCTGTAGTCCCAGCTTCTCAGGGGGCTGAGGCATGAGAATTGCTTGAACCCAGGAGGCAGAGGTTGCAGTGAGCTGAGAACATACCACCTCACTCCAGCCTGGGCGACAGAGCTAGACTCTGTCTCAAAAAAAAAAAGAAAAAAAAAAAAGAGCACGGTGGCTCATGCCTGTAATCCCAGCACTTTGTGAGGCCAAGGTGGGTGGATCACCTGAGGTCAGGAGTTTGAGACCAGCCTGGCCAAGATGGTGAAACCCCGTCTCTACTAAGAATATGAAAATTAGCCAGGCGTGGTAGCGAGCGCCTGTAATTCCAGCTACTTGGGAGGCTGAGGCAAGAGAATCGCTTGAACCCGGGAGGCAGAGGTTACAGTGAGCCGAGATGGTGCCACTGCACATCAGAGCGAGACTCCATCTCAAAAAAAAGATATCTAGTACTGTATTTTTACCTTACCTTTTCTGTTTAGCTGTTTAGATACACAGATACTTACCATTGTGTGACAGTTGCCTACAGTATTCAGTACAGTCACATTTCTGTAATCCTAGCACTTTGGGAGGCCAAGGCAGGAGGATCACTTGAGCTCAGGAGTTTGAAACCAGGCTGGGCAACATAGTGAGATCCTGTCTCTACTAAAAATTCAAAAAAGTAAGCTGGATGTGGTGCACACCTGTAGTCCCAGCTACTTGGGAGGCTGAGGCAGGAGGATTGCTTGAGCCCAGGAGTTGAGGCTGCAGTGAGCCCTGATCCTGCCACTGCACTCCAGCCTGGATGAGAGAGTGAGACCCTGTCTCAAAATAATTAATTAGTTAATTAATTAACATTTAAAAAGTTTGTAGCCTAGGAGCAATAGGCTATACCCTGTAATCTATAGGCTATACCCTATTGTGTAATAGGATAGACCATCTAGGTTTGTAGAAGTACACTCTGTGATGTTCTTACAGTGATGAAATCATCTAACAAGGCATTTCTCAGAACATATCCCCGTCATTAAGCGACACATGACTGTATACACAAGAAAGTGTTTGAGTCAATATCAAATTTCCCTATAGAAAGGGATACCAATTTATATTTTTATCAGTAATGTGTGTGTTTTCCCACATTCTCCCCCCAAACACCATTCATTATGCCATGCAAATGTAACAGATGATAATAATAGCGGCCAACATTTACTGAGTGCTTAATACGCGTTGTTCTGAACAAGTCACATTAAATTCATTCAATTCTCACAGCAGTCCAATGAAGTGGGTACTCTGTTATATGAAGGAGGAAACTGAGGTCTATGAAGATTCATTAACTTGCCTAAAATTCAGCAGCTGAAAAGTGATGAGAGCCCAGGGATAGGAAACCAGGGAGTGTGTCTCCAGAGCCTTCGCTCTCAACCTTTATGTCATACCATCTCTTGATTGCTGACGCCTCGTTATTTTAACATACATTTCATTGACTGTTACTGGGGTTAAACTAATTTTGTATGTTAAATTCTTCTTTTGCTAATTGGCTATTCCTACCGTTTACCCAATTTTCTATTGTAGTATTGTAGAATATTTTAAGGCCAGCACAGTGACTCACACCTGTAATTCCAGCACTTTGGGAGGCCAAGGCAGGAGGTTTGCCTGAGCACAGGAGCTTGAAACCAGCCTAGGCAACATGGCAAAACCCTATCTCTTCAAAAAAAAAAAAAAAAAAAGGTATGTATATATATATGTGTGTGTGTGTGTGTGTGTGTATATATATATGTATACACACACACACATATATACATACATATACACACACACACACACACATATATATATATAATTAGCTGGATATGGTAGCATGTACCTAGCTAGAGGCTGATGTGGGAGGATCACCTAAACCTGGGAGGTTGAGGTTGCAGAGAGCCGAGATTGCGGCGCTGCACTCGAGCCTGGATGACAGAGTGAGACCCTGTCTTTTAAAAATTTATTTAGACTGGGTGCGGTGCTCATGCCTGTAATCCCAGCACTTTGGGAGGCTGAGAGGGGGAGTGGATCACCTGAGGTCAGGAGTTCGAGACCAGCCTGACCAACATAGTGAAACCCTGTCTCTACTAAAGATACAAAAATTAGCTGGGCATGATGGCGGGCACCTGTAATCCCAGCTACTCGGGAGGCTGAGGCAGGAGAATCGCTTGAACCCGGGAGGCGGAGGTTGCAGTGAGCCAAGGTCATGCCATTGCACTCTAGCCTGAGTGACGGAGTGAAACTCCGTCTCAAAAAAAAAAAAAAAAAAAAGAAGAGGTGAAACTAACGAGTTGGAAAGGGAGGTGGAAAAGCTAAGGAAAGAATTGGAGGGAGGTGGGAGCACCACTGGAAAGAGTGGAGAGTGGCACACATGCTGTGGAAAGCCACAGTGATGACCTGGAGACAGGCCTCAGGAAGGTGCACAGGAAACAAAAGAAACAGATGGAGTGTCAGACCGAAGCAATTAGAAGCTGATAGAAATCCAGACTGACAAGAGCATTCTCACATTTGTATGCGAATATTCCTGGCAGAGAGAATAAATGGAATAGAAAATACTCTTCAGGATATAACATAAAACAGCTTCATTAAATAAAGGAAGACCTGAATCTGCAGGTCCAAACTGCTTGCCGTATTCCAGAAAAGAGTGTGAGAGAAATGATCGACACAGACACAAATACAGCTGAGGGTCTTAATCTCAAAAGGAAAGAGTGATCTCTCCATCAACAAATAAGTCAATAGCAAAAAGCAAAACAAAAGCAATACTAATAATAAAGAGCCCATTAAGAATATAGGCAGAAGAGGCCAGGCGCAGTGGCTCGCACCTGTTATCCCAGCACTTTGGGAGGCCGAGGCGGACGGATCACCTGAGGTCAGGAGTTCGAGACCAGCCTGGCCAATGTGGTAAAACCCTGTCTACTGAAAATACAAAAATGAGCTGGGCGTAGTGGTGGGCGCCTGTAATCCCAGCTACTCGGGAGGCTGAGGTGGGAGAATCGCTTGAACCTGGGAGGCGTTCAAACACTGCTTCAGTAAACAAGGAAAGAGGTCATGAGGAATCTAGTGAGCCAAGATCGTGCCATTGCACTCCAGCCTGGGCAACAAGAGCAAAATTCCATCTTAAAACAACAAAAAAAAAAGAATATAGGCAGAAGAAGCAGTCAGTTAGGACAAATACCCCTAACTTTGATTACATTCTTTTTTTTTTTTTGAGACACGGTCTCCCTCTGTCACCCAGGCTGGAGTGCAGTGTCGTGATCTTGGCTCACTGCAGCTTCCGCCTTCCCGGCTCGAGCTATCCTCCCACTTCAGCCTCCCAAATAGCTAAGACTAGGTTTTGCCATGTTGCCCAGGCGGTCTCTAACTCCTGAGCTCAAACAATCCACTCGCCTTGGCCTCCCAGAGTGCTAGGATTACAGGCGTGAGCCCCCACACCCAGCCTTGGTACATTCTTAATATGTGTTAGGTGCTTGAATTTTCACACCAGCCCTGAGATGTTGGTGCTATCAGTACCCCATTTCACAGACAAGAAAACAGGCCCAGGCCAGGTGCAGTGGCTCACACCTGTTGTCCCAGCACTTTGGGAAGCCAAGGCAGGAGGATCAGAAGAGGTCAGAAGTTTAAGACCAGCCTGGCCAGCATGGTGAAACTCCATCTCTACTAAAAATACAAAAATTAGCCGGGCTTGGTGGTGAGCACCTGTAGTCCCAGCTACTTGGGTGGCTGAGGCAGGAGAATTGCTTGAACCTAGGCGGAGAAGGTTTCAGTGAGCCGGGATCACACCACTGCACTCCAGCCTGGACAACAGAGCAAGACTCCATCTCAAAAAAGAGAAAAGAAAAGAAGAAAAGAGAAGAAAAAAAGAAAAAAAAAAAGGAAAGAAAAAGAAAAGAGGTCCAGAGTTGTCATTTGATGAAGGAAGGATACAAACCCAGAACCTTGGGTACTATCATTACACTACAGTGCCTCACCCACAAAGGAGGAAAATATCAGTCTGGACAACACTTCCCCACAGTTCTGAAGATGTCAGCCCAAGGAGAAACAGCATCTACAATGAATTCTCTACCCAACCAAGTGGCCATTTATGTCCATGGCAACATAGATATATTCTCAATTATGCAGAAGTTTAAATGTAATGCAAATATGTGCTGCTTTTCTTTAGCAAACTTATTTTATTTTATTCCATTGAATTTCACTAAAGGAGATACAGATGTGCATAATTATGTTAATTTACACATGATAATATACATTAAGACCATAAGAAAGCTGAGAAAATGCCTGCTCAGTCAAAAGGTCTTCCCGAGCAGGGGCTGAGGGTCTTGCACATGGCTGGATCCACACACAATCTGAGTCATAGGAGGCATTGAAGGCACTGAAGGATGGGCTTGATGTACTTGGAACAGCTCAGTCACCTGTTTTGATGCAGGGCCTGTTGCAGGTGTGATGACTAGAGCGGGGATCATGAGTGCTAAAGGAATTTGCCAAGGCAGTCATAGGTTTAAAAAAAAAAAAGCAGATTTATTAGAAGGAAAGTATGTTGCAAGGAAGCAACGGGCAGCACAGCAGAAAAGGGACTGTCTCCAAAAAGGCAGGGGCTGGAAGGAAGCTTTATAGGGTCATGCTGGAGGGGGTTCGTGCAGTTACAGTCCTGCTGCTGGGGCTACGTGCAGAGTGAGGGAACAGGATGTTGTGCAAGGGCCTGTTTGTGGTTAGCCGTCTCTCAGAACAATTGTTCTCCCCAACCTGGGACCCCTTCCTCATTGTTGCTTATTTATCAGGATTCCACAGAGCCCAAATCAATATTATAGAAATGGGATCGGGTGAGACAATCCATGTATCACCTATGAATAGACTCAAAAGAATTGGAAGTAGGGTCTTGAAGAGAGATCTGTACATCCATATTAATAGCAGTTTATTCACAATAGCCAAGGCATAGAAGCTACCTAAATGTCTATCAACAGATAAATGGATAAACAAAATGTAGTGTATACTTAAAACAGAAAATTATTCAGCCTTAAACAGGAAGGAAACTCAGACATGTGGGACAACATGAATGAACCTTGAGGACACTATGCTAAGAGAAATAAGCCAGGCACAAAAAGACAAAATATTGTGTTCCACCTATATGAGGTACCTAGAGGAGTCAAATTCATAGAAACAGACAGGAGAATGGTGTTCTCCAGGGCCTGGGGGAAGGAGAGAATGGAGGGTTGTTTAATGGAAACAGAGTTTCAGTTTTGCAAGTTCTGGAGACGGATGGTACTGATAGTTGCACAAGAATGTGAAAATACTTAATACTACTGAACTATATACTTAAAAATAGTTAAGACGATGCATTTGATGTCATGTATGTTTTATAGAAATACACATATATGTGTATATATGTACACATATATTTGTATAAACATATAGTCCTATAATTAAACATTTTTTTATGCCGGGTGCAGTGGCTCAAGTCTGTAATCCTGGCACTTTGGGAGGCCAAGGTGGGAGAATTGCTTGAGCTCAGGAGTTTGAGACCAGTCTGGGAAACATAGCGAGACCACATCTCTACTAAATTTTTTTTTTTTAATTAGCTGGACATGGTGGTATGTGCCTACTTAGGAGGCTGAGGTGGGAGGATCACTTGAGCCCAGAAGACAGAGGCTGCTTTGAGTTATGATCTCACCACTGCACTCCAGCCAGGGCAACAGAGCAAGACTTTATTTCAATAATAATAATAATACTTTAAAAAAACTGCTTTCAAGACAAAGTTATCTCCAAATCCAGCTTCCATCGCTATAGAGCATTCAGAACCAACAAGTCTTCGTGCTGTTGGACCTGCTGTGCTAGAGGGCTTCATGTCCATCAGATGAATATTAGCATTCCCTCTGAGTCTGTATGAGACTGGGCTTGATGCATCCTTCATAGCACTTGTCAAGGCACCACTCACACCCAGATCTTCAGCACTGGTAGCATCCCCGTTCTCATTAGATAGCACCGCCATTTTCCTCAGTCTCTCCTATCTTTTAGAGCAGCGGTCCCCACCCTTTTTGGCACTAGGAACTGGTTTCATGGGAGACAGTTTTTCCACAGGTCATGGGGGACGGTTTGGGGATGATTCAAGCATTACATTTATTATGCACTTTATTGCTATTATTATTACATACTCACCATAATGTAGAATCAGTGGAAGCCCTAAGCTTGTTTTCCTGCAACTAGACAGGACAGGTGTTGGGAGACAGTGACAGATCATCAGGCATTAGGTTCTCATAAGGAGCATGCAAGCTAGATTCCTTGCATGCGCAGTTGACAATAGGGTTCACGCTCCTATGGGAATCTAAGGCCTCCGCTGATCTGACAGGAGGCGGAGCTCAGGCGGTAATGCTCACTCGCTGGCCGCTCACCTCCTGCTGTGCAGCCTGCTTCCTAACAGGCCATGGACTGGTACTGGTCCCTGGCAGGGGGTTGGAGACCCCTGTTTAGAGCACTGTTGAAAGACAGAACACTCACGATTTCACTCACCATGGAGACATCAGTGTGAGTCACCACTCTCCAAAGGTGATCTGCCTCCAAAGTCTATCACTGGGATTCAAATGCTCTCTGCCAAGTTATAGTTTCTGGGTCAATATTCAGTCCTAGAATTCTGCTCAATTCTTTATCAGTGTGATAGAGTCAGATTCTCAATTCTCACTCTTAATAGCCTTCAGATTTGGGTATCAGACAACTTTCTTACTCCATTGACTGAAGATACCAAATGGTAAAAGGGACCTCTGTCCCTCTGTGTCAGCTCATGGAATGCACAAACATCAGCAGCTGCCCCAAAAAGAACACTAGGTCACCTGTGAGGCTGATGATGAACTCCATAGGAACGACTGGGCAGTCTACTGCCTCGTATTTCAAAAGTTCCACCCTGAGAAGCTGTCAAACCTAAGCAAACCTAAGTAGGCACATACCACCATGTCCAGCTAATTGAAAAAAAATTTAATAGAGACGGGGGTCTCGCTATGTTTGCCAGACTGCTCTCAACTCCTGAGCTCAAGCAATTCTCTCACCTTGGGAGCCTGACGAAGAGCTTGCACCAGCCCATTGTGGTTGTTCTTTATTCCCAGGACCTTTGGGGATCTTCTAGTCACTGCCATATTGTGTTTTTTGTTGTTGTTGCTTGTTTGTTTGTTTTTTGAAACAGAGTCTCACTCTGTCACAAGCCCAGGCTAGAGTGCAGTGGCACGATCTCGGCTCACTGCAGCCTCCTCCTCCTGGGTTCAAGTGATTCTCCTGCATCAGCCTCCTGAGTAGTTGGGATTACAGGCGCCCATCACCACCATGCCCGGCTAATTTTTGTATTTTTAGTAGAGATGGGGTTTCACCATGTTGGCCAGGCTGGTTTCGAACTCCTGACCTCAGGTGATCCGCCCACCTCGGCCTCCCAAATTGCTGGGATTACAGGCATGCCACTGCGCTGGGCCAACTGCCACCCTCTTTCTTTAGCCTCTGACTTGCTCAGAGACGACCTTCCTGTTCAGGATTCTTGCCAGCACCATGGCCCGAGTGGTCTCCTGCCTCCTCTGGACTCTGCACATACATGTGTGTAACATGGGATCCAGCCAGCTGACTGAATCGAAATAACTTCCACACGGGGATGGCATGGTAGGAAAGAAGTTGCAGGGTTATTCAATCAATGTAAACTTAGAATTAAGAATAACTGGCTGGGCGCTGTGGCTCACGCCTGTAATCCCAGCATTTTGGGAGGCCAAGGTGGGCGGATCACAGGTCAAGAGATCAAGACCATCCTGGCCAACATGGTGAAACCCCATCTCTACTAAGAATACCAAAATAAGCCGGGCGTGGAGGCACACGCCTGTGGTCCCAGCTACTCGGGGGGCTGAGGCAGAAGAATCGCTTGAACCCGGGAGGCAGAGGTTGCAGTGAGCTGAGATTGTGCCACTGCACTCCAGCCTGGGCAACAGAGCTAGACTCTGTCTAAAAAAAATAATAATAACTATGATGACCACTCTTAAAAAAATGTAATTTTTATCATTCTTCTCAGAAATCTATATGATGTAAAAATAAATATTTGTCAGTAGTAGACTATGACAATCCTAGAAAATACTTACATTAAAATAGGGGAGGGAGAAGAGAGGAGAGTATAAATATGGCAACCTGTCAGTCCAAGAGTCTTTATTACAAATAACAGAAGCTTACCCTGGCTGAGTAAACATAAAAGGAATTTAGTTAGTTGGTTAGTTTCAACTTTAATTTTAGTTTCAAGGGGTACATGTGCAAGTTTGTTAAGTGGGTAAATTGGATGTCAGTAGGGTTTGGTGCACCAGTGATTTCATCCCCCAGGTAGTCAGCATAGTACCCAACAGGTAGTTTTTCAGCCCTTACCTTCCTCCCCCCATCACCCCTCAAGTAGTGTGTCTCTCGTTCCTGGTGTCTCCTATTCCCATCTTTGTGACCATGTGTACTCAATATTTAGCTCCCAGTTATAAATGAGAACGTGTGGCATTTGGTTTTCTGTTCCTGCATTAATTCAATTAGGATAATGGCCGCCAGCTGTATTCATACTGCTGCAAAGGACACAATTTCATTCATTTTTATAGCTGCATTGTATTTCATGGTGTATATATACTACATTTTCTTATCCAGTCCACTGTTGGTAAGCATCTAGGTTGATTATAAAAGGAATTTATTAAAGGGATTTTGAATAGCTTATAAAATTGCTGGAAAGTCTAGAGAAGTGGGCTTAAGATTCATCTTCTGGGAACAGCACTCAAAACCACACTGCAGAACAGTCTGAGGAAGGAACTGCTGCAATCACCACCCAGCACTACATGCTACAGTTTATACCACTATCACTCTGAGCCAGGAACTCAACCTTCTAGTCAGGACCACTGCCACCAGAACAAAAGCTCCTAATGTCTTTTCCCTCAGATCATTCACCAAAGTCTGGCACATGTGTGTCAGATAGACAGAAACAAAGTCACATGTGCCAAGTTGCAAGATTCTGGGAAGGTGAGTATTTAACATTTTCAGATCTATTAAGAGAAATAATTGTTTCCCCACACGAGGACTCATAAAGTAGATCATTCCTCCAACCAGAGAAGGGGTTCAGTTGCTGGGGGAAAACATGCATGATAATTGTCCAGTATAGCCAATTTCCTCATATTTCATAGATGTGAATCAATCAATATAACTTCATTTCTGAAATTGATTAACATTATAAACATATTAAGGCTATAAAGATAAAACGCTTTTTTTTTTTTTTTTTTTTTTTTTTTTTGAGACAGTTTCACTCTGTTGTCCAGGCTGGAATGCCGTGGGGCGATCTCTGCTCACTGCAACCTCTGCCTCTGGGTTCAAGCAATCCCAAGTAGCTGGGACTACAGGTGCGCACCGCTACGCCCGGCTAATTTTTGTAATTTTAGTAGAGATGGGGTTTCACTATGTTGGCCAGGCTGGTCTCAAACTCCTGACCTTAAGTGACCCGCCCACCTCAGCCTCCCAAAGTGCTGGGATTACAGGCATGAGCCATCACGCCTGGCCTATACTTCTTAATTACTGGAGTACAAGAAATAAAGACCATGGAACATCAACAGAAAACAAAAGAGAATGTAAAAGTTTCAAAAGACAAAATAAGACAGCAGAAACAATACCAAATACATCTATCTTAATAATAAGTGTTAAGTGGGAAAACTAATTTAGATTATCAGATTTAACCTTTAAAAAGAATATATTTTGCATTAGACATAGACCTAAAATAAAGTGACTCAGGTTGAATGTAAAAAGATGGGCAAAAATATATCAGATATATTCAATATGCACAAGATCTATATGAGGAAAACTACAAAACTCTGAGGAAAAAATCAAACATCTAAATAAATGGAGAGATAGTCCATGTTCATGGATAAGAAGACTCAATATAGTTAAAATAGCAGTTTTTCCCAACTTGATCTGTAGATTCAATGTGATCCCAATCAGAATCCCAGCAAATTTTCTTCTTTTTTTTTTTTCTTTTTTTTTTTTTCTTTTTTTTTTTCTTGAGACAGAGCCTTGCTCTGTTGCCCAAGCTGGAGTGCAGTGGTGCCATCTTGGCTCTCTGCAACCTCTGCCTCCCAGATTCAAGCAACTCTCCTGCCTCAGCCTCCTGAGTAGTTGGGATTACAGGCCCACCATGCCCAGCAGCTAATTTTTGTATTTTTAGTAGAGATGGGGTTTCGCCATATTGGCCAGGCTGGTCTTGAACTCCTGACCTCAAGTGATCCACCTGCCTCGACCTCCCAAAGTGCTGGGATTACAGGCATGAGCTGCTGTGCCCCACCCCAAAATCCCAGCAAATCTTATCTTGTGGATATTGACAAAATGATTTTAAAGTTTATATGGAAAGCCAAAAGACCCAGAATAGCCAATAAAATACTGAAGGAGAAGAACAAAGTTGGAGAACCGACACTACCTGACTGAAAGACTTACTATAAAACTACAGTAATTAAGACAATGTGGTATTGGTGAAAGAGTAGACGTGTAGGTCAGTGGAACAGAATAGAGAGCCCCAAAATAGACCCATGTAAATATAGCCAGCTGATCTTTGACAAAGGTGCAAAGCCAATACCATGAAGCAAAGATAGTCTTTTCAACAAATACTGTAAGAACAACTGAACATCCACATGCAGAAAATGAATCTAGACACAGACCTTTTACATTTTATAAAAATTAACTCAAAATAAATTATAGACATAAATATAAAAGAGTACACTACAGAACTTCTAGAAGATGACATAGGAAATCTAAGTGACCTTGGGTTTGGCAAAGAGTTTTTAGATACAACAGCAAAAGCACAATCCATCAAAGAAAAAAGTAGACAAGCTAGATTACAGTAAAATTTAAGACTTCAGTGAAAAGCACTGTTAAGGGAATGAACACAAGCCACACGCTGGGAGAAAATATTTGTCAAACACATGCCTGATAAAAGACTTGTATCCAAAATATATAAAGGGCCAAGTGCGGTGGCTCTCGCCTGTAATCCCAGCACGTTGGGAGGCTGAGGCAGGCAGATCACCTGAGGTCAGGAGTTTGAAACCAGCCTGGCCAATATGGTGAAACCCCATCTCTACTAAAAATACAAAAATTAGCTAGGCATGGTGGCAGGTGCCTGCAATCCCAGCCACTCAGGAAGCTGAGGTGGGAGATCACTTGAACCCCAGAGGTGGAGGTTGCACCACTGCAGTCCAGCCGGGTGGCAGAGCAAGACTCGTCTAGAAAAAAAAAATGTATATATATAGAGAGAGAGAGCGCGAGCGCGTGCAAGAGAGCAAGAGAGAGAGAACCCTTAAAACACAACAATGAGAAAACAACCAACCACATTAAAAAATGGGCAAAATGGCCGGGCGCGGTGGCTCACACCTGTAATCCCAACACTTTGGGAGGCCGAGGTGGGCGGATCACGAGGTCAGGAGATCGAGACCATGCTGGCTAACACGGTGAAACCCCGTCTCTACTAAAAATACAAAAAATTAGCCGGCCGTGGTGGCAGGCGCCTGTAGTCCCAGCTACTCGGGAGGCTGAGGCAGGAGAATGTCTTGAACCCGTGAGGTGGAGCTTGCAGTGAGCCGAGATGGCGCCACTGCACTGCAGCCTGGCGACAGAGTGAGACTCCGTCTCAAAAGAAAAAAGAAAAGGGCAAAATTTCTGATCAGACACATCACAAAAGATGACATACAAATGGAAAATAAGCGTATGAAAACATGTTCAACATCATGTCACTAGAGAATTACAAATTAAAACAATAAGATACCACTACACACCTATTAGAATGGCTAAAATCCAAAAATCTGGCCATATTGAGGAAAGGTTATTAGGATGAGCAGTTCTAGAACTGGGATCAGATAAAAGGGGAAAATGCTTCGGATTAAATGAAAGAGTAGAACATGAGTAGTAGAAGAAGAAAATGAAAGTTGCACTTAGAAAGGGATCTCTTCTATTCATGGGGATGATCTGGTCAGGGCCATTGTGGGCATCCAATGCCCTAATAATTTCTGAGAAACTTCTTCGTGTCTGTTTCTCAAGTATCTTCTCTGTCCTACTAGAAAGTAGCCAAATGAATAATGGATTAATAACCCCATGTGCTTATGTTTCAGTTGGCTTGTGCTGCTGTAACAGAATACCACAGACTGGGTAATTTATGATGCACAGAAATTTATTAACTCATAGTTCTGGGGGCTGGGAAAGGGCTACCTCTGGTGAGGGGCTACTTGCAGTGTCACCCCACAGCAGATGGCGGAAGGGCAAGGAGAGAGGCAGAGAGAGAAAAAAGGGGCCAAACCCATCCTTTTATAAGGAGCCCATTCCCATGATAACAGCATTAATCCATTCATGAGAACAGAGCCCTCATCACCTAATAACTTCTCATTAGGCCTCACCTCCTAACATGCTCGCATTGTTTCCAGAACATGCTTTTGGGAGACAGCACTTTCAAACCACGGCAATATATGATGGCATCCATTTAGCCACAAACCAGCAGGTGTTGCCGTTCTCGTTTACAGGAGTCAAAGCTGAGTGCCTGGAGTGTCCATCTTATCCAGCATGGCAAACTTGCAAAGTGATGGAATTATGGATTTCTTTTTGGAAATTTGGGAAATATCAAAACTGAGAGATAGTCAGTCAGATGGGACAAACACTGACCTGTTGAACGGGCTTGGTTAAGTCAAGGTCCAGGGTGGATCTAGGTCAATCATATTCTAAACAAGTGAGGGCTTTGATATTCCTGTGCTGAAGGCCATGTCAGAACAACTCTTACTTAAGTTAATTTGGTGATATTACAACTCTCTTTCAAGCATCTTAGATTTAGCTCCCAATGTGCAATCAACTTTTGATGTGGAAAAAAAGCCTATGCTGAAAGTAGTTAACAGTGGCTAGTCTGCTGCTATGGACATTTGACTTAAGGGTTCAGAGACGGACTCTGTTGAATTATTCTTTTATTCACACATATCACCCACCCTCCTCTCTCTGGTTTCCACCTTCAGGTATAACCTAACCCACTCTAAGCTTGATGTTGCCTGTGGCCTAGGACCCACCCACAGGGCGGAAGCCTCTCCCCACACAGGCCATCCGCCAACAAGTAAGAATTGCCCACACTGACCAGGAATAGTACGAAGTAGTTACTGGGATCCTCTGAAAGCCATAATATGAAAGTATCTAGAGACTGCCCTTAGGAACTGGTGTGTGGGTCTCAAATACTTCCCAATGTTAGGAGAAAAAAAAAAGCACAAGAGTTCACCCTGCAGTGCTTTCTGAGAATTTAAAGGTGAGGTATATACCTGTAATGTCCCCAGGATCCCACTGAGGATAAGCAGTATATGATATCTTCTAGTGGAGTGTGCACCAAATTTCACCGTGTAAAAATATACCATTATAGACCTTGTAAAATATACCGTTACACCATGCTGGCTGCAACCTGGCTGTACCATTAACTGTAATCCTGCTTTGTTTTCTTGGAGTAGGAGAAACAGGCAAAGCCAACCAAGATGCTTTTGATTCCCAGTAGTACTGTTAAATAGACCAGCGTTGCTTAGAAATAGGTGTGGGTCTGTCTACTTCAGATGCAAAGGATAAATGCAGTGGGTGTCACAGCCACAATAATAATTATGTCATCTGTCTTGTCATGGAATGTGACTATAGTAATTGCGGCATTTTCTCCCATCATTGAAGCTTGTAATTATAGTGCAACTAACAGGATTACGTGCTAACTTGGGCTGCCTTAATCACCTCTTTTACTCTGAAATGTGATGGTAAAATTCCACAGTTGTTCCCAAGCTACCAATTCTTTTCAACATCTGTTGTCTTGTAACTCTAACAGTTCAATACTAAGACGGGGAGGCACAGAGATGCTCCAGGCATTTCATCACAGTGAACTTGAGGGAAAGCCGAATTCAGGCTTGATGAGAAAGGATACACAGTAAAGGAATTTGCAATTTTCTACCAGAATAAGATTTTCTCTTTGAAAGCAAATTGTCTACTTTATGTTCCAAAGATGGCAGATGTTTAATGGGATCTGGCGTTGTCTGCAACCCCTATTTGGTACGTGTTGAAGGAAACCTCCAACCATAAACATCAATCTAGGGCTGATTAAGAAAACTCTCCCTCTCAGCGGAAGGAGCAGACTCAGGTTAATTAATACCTGGATACTGAGCTATTTGTTGGGACGCCACCTTTCATGTGTCAGGCTCATTTAGACGGTCATTACCTATATTTATCTTTTCAGATCACATTAACAATAAACTTCAGGGGTTACCCAAGATACTTTGGTTATAAAGGTTATATAGGACTCTGGACGCTATGTGAAAAGACGGGGTGATGAAGGTGGAAAACTCCCTTGACTATTTTGCTGTAAGATGACTTATGCTGTATTAGATGCAGCTGTGCGTAAGTGGGCCATTCTTCACAGTGTTACATTTCAGTAATTCTGAGTGCACCTAGGAAATTAATGTTTCACGGAACCAACCCAGATCCACACATTCGGGCTTAAACTGAGCACTTCTTGATCGGCAGTAATACTGGCTTCATTGTGTGTGCATTCCTGTTGTATGGGTGCACAGACAGGACTCAGCAAGCCAGAGGAGTGGTTATAACTCAGCAAACGCAACTGTGATCTTAAAGCAACAAAAGGAGGCAATCTAAGAACAACTCGTTTTCTTGCAAGAAAAATTGTGGCATCAGGTACAGTATCACCTTTGGGAGGTGAGAGAAAAATTCCTAGGTGAGACCTGCTTAGACCTGGCAAGGCCAGACCATTAATAGCATAATTGTTAGGGTGTTGCAGACACTGGGCTGTAAGGGAAGAAGTTACTCTGCTATGGAGTGGAACATGGGCCCAACCTGACTTCTCCTCGACTGAGCTGTCCCCCGAAGCCCCGACATTTTTTGAGCCCACTCCTTTAATGCTTGGTCATGATGTACAGGATGTACTGGTTGATAGTGCAGCTTCCCCAGTGAGGCGCCCCCTTGAGGTTGCTCCTAGAGAATTAAAAGAGTCGAACTGGCCCATGATGGATGTTGATAACCACCGGGACAGGTAAACTGATCAATGGGAAGAGAGCTATCGTGACAGTTTAGCCAGCCAACTTCTGACCAGCTGGATTGTATGTGTAGACAGAAGGGGATTGGCGGGTCACAGCCTAGAGGAAGGGGTGTCTTGGAGACCACAGTGGCTGTGTCCATCCTGTACTTCTCAGGGCCGGGGGGAAAGGGGGTGAGTCCCAGCTGAGGACACCTCCTGTCTCTAGGTTAAACGAAATGACCTAAGACACTCTAGGTGGGAGACTCTCCTTCTTCTGGTCCTGTGAGCTCCCAGGTAGTTGAACCACAAGGATCTCTCCTCGTGTGCACTGGATGGATGGGCAGGTGAGAATGTTCCAGGCCACTTGAGAATTACGGGTCTCATTGTCAATTAACAAAGCAGCTGCTGTAGTATAGCGGCTGAGTATAGATTCTGTATACAGTGTAGATTATAGATTCTGTATCGAGTGTAGATTCTGTGTAGTATAAAACGGGTCCCCAACCGCCGGGCCATGGACCAGTACCAGTCTGTGGCCTGTTAGGAACCGGGCCGCACAGCAGGAAGTGAGCAGCGGGTGAGCAAGCAAAGCTTCATCTGTATTTACAGGTGCTCCCCATTGGTTGCATTACCGCTTGAGCTCTGCCTCCTGTGAGATCAGCAGCGGCATTAGATTCTTACAGGAGCACAAACCCAATTGTGAACTGCGCGTGTGAGGGATCTAGGTTGCAAGCTCCTTATGAGAATCCTGTGTCTGATTATCTGTCACTGTCTCCCATCACCTCCAAATGGGACCATCTAGTTGCAGAAAAACAAGCTCAGGCCTCCCATTGATTCTGCATTATGGTGAATTGTATATAATTATTTCATTATGTATTACAATGTAATAATAACAGAAATAAAGTGTACGATAAATCTAATGCACTTGAATCCTCCTGAAACCATCCCCCCACCCCCAGTTCATGGAAAAACTGTCTTCCACGAAACCACTCCCTCGTGCCGAAAACGTTGGGGACGGCTGTAGTACAGTACAGCTTAGCTTCAAATTCTGGCTGTCTCTTTTTTTTTTTTTTTTTTTTTTGAGACAGAGTCTCACTCTGTCGCCAGGCTGGAGTGCAGTGGCGCGACCTCAGCTCACTGCAACCTCTGACTCCCTGGTTCAAGCAATTCTCCTGCCTCAGCCTCCCGAGTAGCTGGGATTACAGGCATGGGCCACCACGCCCAGCTAAATTTTGTATTTTTAGTAGAGACGGGGTTTCACCATGTTGGCCAGGATGTTCTTGAGCTCCTGATTTTGTGATCTGCCTGCCTCGGCCCCCCAAAGTGCTGGGATTACAGTCCGTGAGCCACCGTGCCCGGCCCTGGTTTCCTCTCTTAATAGATGGGTGACCTTCTTAACCTTTGTGCCTCAGTTTCCTCATCTGTAAAGTGGCTTTAAGATAATACTTATCATGTGTACTTGAAAATTGCTTGCCAGACTCAGAGGCTCATGCCTGTAATCCCAGCACTTTGAGAGGCCGAGGCGGGCAGATCACCTGAGGTCAGGAGTTCGAGACCAGCCCGGCCAACATGGAGAAACCCCATCTCTACCAAAAATTTAAAAATTAGCCAGGCATGGTGGCAGGAGCCTGTAACCCCAGCTACTAGAAGGCTGAGGCAGGAAAACTGTTTGAAACCAGGAGGCAGAGGTTACAGTGAGCTGAGATCGCCCTACTGCACTCCAGTCTGGATGGCAGAGTGAGACTCCATCTCAAAAGAAAAAAGAAAATTGCTAAAAGAGTAAATTTTATGTTTTTAACCACAAAAAAAGTATGTGAGGTAATAGATATGTCAGTTAGCTTGATTTAGCCATTCTATAATGTATACACGTATCAAAACATCATGTTGTACACCATAAATATATTCCATTTTTATTTGTCAATTATAAATAAGGAATTCTACTTTTTTTTTTTTTTTTTAGAGACAGGGTCTTGCTCTGCCACCCAGGCTGGTGTGCAGTGGTGCGATCACAGCTCACTGCAGCCTTGAACTCCCGGACTCAAGCGATGTCCCTGCCTCAGCCTCCCAAGTAGCTGGGACTGCCGGTGTGCACTATCATGCCTGGCTAATTTTTTCATTTTATGGTAGAGTCTTGTTATGTTGCCCAGGCTAGAGTCGTACGTATAAGAAGAATTAAATGACATAATACATCTGATGCATGTAGCATAGTGCTGGCACCTGAGAAGCACTCAGTAAATGTAAATGTTAGCTTCTATTTGTATTATGGTTTTATCCAGCTGCCTCCTGAGCTTGTTTAATATGGGTCAGCCACAAGAGATGATCTATTCTGAGTGTGCCAGGAAATTGTGTTTCTGGGCCCAGAAGTCCAGTGATTGCCCTCTGAAGAAAGGGGGCAGATTCACCAAGGTGTCCTCTACTGTCTGGGACTGGACAGGTTGTCAGATGCCCCGTCTCCTGGCCTCTCATCATGGATCCACAGTGGCGTGCAAGTGTTCTTTTGTGACATTTCAGCACACATGGATTATTATAGTGACTTCATCATGTTTGAGATCACAGTGAGATCTTCTAGAGGGCAAAACTGTTGCCTTATTCTTTCTCTTGCATCCTCTGAATTAGCTAAAGGGTAGATAGTGAATACTTCCTTTCTGAATGACATAACGAGGATTATAGAGAATTCAGATGAAACTGGAGCATGTCCAAAAAAAATGAAGTAGATGGGAAAAGTGAAAACTAGAAAACTGGAGAGGGCATGATAGTCAGACGAGACGTTCTTTTTTTTTTTTTTTTTTTTTGAGATGGAGTTTCACTCTTGTTGCCCAGACTGGAGTGCAGTGGCACAATCTCAGCTCATTGCAACTTCCAACTCCCGAGTTCAAGCGATTCTCCTGCCTCAGCCTCCTGAGTAGCTGGGATTACAGGCACCCGCCACCACGCCTGGCTAATTTTTTGTATTTTTTGTAGAGACGGGGTTTCACCATGTTGGCCAGGCTGGTCTTGAACTCCTGACCTCAGGCGATCCACCCGCCTTGGCCTCCCAAAGTGCTGGGATTACAGGTGTGAGCCACTGCGTCCAGCCGAGCCATTCTTAAACGGAACTCCCAGAAGAGCTCACTGGAGTCAGGGGCCTAGACTTAGCAAACCCAAGAGGACAGTGGCTCCTAGAGGAGGAATGTGGTTGTTCCAACACTGCAGCCCTTGTGTGTGCTGCCCAGGCAGCAGTGAAGACCACTGCCCAGGGGTTGCCAGAGGGGTCAATGGATGAATTTAGTGGCTGTCCTAACATGGTGGCCATGAGGGAGACCCCAGACCTCAGCAGCTTCTGCATCTCTGGGCATGGTGAGAAGCCAGGAGTGGAAACTAAGGAGGTCATCACTCCAGCAGTTGGGGAGGGCACTTGGCTTTCCTTAGAAGGTGGCAGCAAGGGAGGGCTCAATCTCCCAAGTCCACCGGCTTTGAGTTGCAGCACTCACCATGTGATTCCATTCTCTTGTGTGTCCATCGCAGCCCTGTGGGCCTCAGAGTCCATTTCCTTAAGCCTGTGCTCCTGCTCCTTGTGATGGCTTCACAGGCCCCCCACAGGCTCAGTTTTCCCCTGAGCCTCACCCATCTGGGAAATTCCTATATGGGCGTCCTGTAACCCACTGCAAACTTCAAACACTCCTATTCAACTCAACATACACGTTTTTAGGATCTTAAATACTGACCATGCTATTAAAGGTAGAATCATAGACGTCTTAGAGTAAATTGGGACCTTAGAGCTCTCCAACGCTCCTGAATTTTACAAATGAGGGAAGTGAAGCTCAGAAAGGTTGAGCTGCTTACCCAAGGTCACACAGCTAGCTTACGGGCGGGGGTAGATCTAGAAGCCTGATGTTCACCGGAACTCATTTCTCCATGCCACATTCTTAACAAATGTAGGTTTTGTCAGGATTTAGACTAACTCATCTGCTAAACTTCAAGTTGATTTATTTGAGTGATGTGTTTAGTTGATTCATTGTATATCTCTGCTGGAATTATTTCTAGCCATTGCTAAAGCGGTTAGGTCTGAAAATCAGAAGAATCTCTGTAAAATGCTGAAAGATGAGCCAATTTTTAAAACCCAGAAGGGAATGTGTATGGCCTGTGTAGCTGGAGGCTTCTAAACATTTTTTTTCTTCATCTGTGGAACATTTTTATCATTCTGGGGAAGATTTAGACATTGAATGTACTAAAAGGATTTCATTTGACTGCTATGTATTTACCCCTGCCTGTAATCCGCTAATAAATACTCGCAGGCAGAACAGCCTAATTGGCAGGATGAGTTAATGCACAGGCCATTTATCTGCCAAGCACATGACACAGACCATGAACAAAATAAGCTGGTAACTGCCTCTCCCTCTTAGCAAATGCTTGTCCGCACCCCGCCCTCTCCCAACCTGCTCTTCCTCTGGCCTTGAGCTTGGGGACAGTTTGATGCACAACTGCCATGCGCCAGCAGGCTTCAGATAAGCCTGGAAAGAAATGGAATGGAAAGAACTTTCTGGTCAGGAGCACCTCTCTCCGCAGGGAAGTGGCCACTCCAAGTTAAAACATGTGTGCTGGCTGGGCACGGTGGCTCATGCCTGTAATCCCAGCACTTTGGGAAGCCGAGGTGGGCAGATCACCTGAGGTCAGGAGTTTGAGACCAGCCTGGCCAACATAGTGAAACCCCATCTCTACTAAAAATACAAAAATTAGCTGGGCATGGTGAGTGCCTGTAATCTCAGCTACTTGGGAGACTGAGGCAGGAGCATCACTTGAACCCAGGAGATGGAGGTTGCAGTGAGCGGAGATCACGCCACCACACTCTAGCCTGGGCAACAGAGCGAGACTCTGCCTCAAAAAAAGAAATAAAAATGAAAAATGAATAAAAATAAAACGTGTGCTTATAAAATATAGCTAAATACAAGTTCTGTTGAGGAGGATGAAGTGTCTCTCTGTGTTGGTCACAAGAGTGGATTGCAATAAAACAACTAATAATGATAATAAATATGATCACACTGGCTTGGCCAGGGGCTGCCTTCTGCTTTAGTCTTCCAGAAACGGTTTAGCAAAGTCATTGTGAGACTACTGTCCTGGAACCTCCACTCCTCACCTACTCGAGAATATATCAAGGCTGTCTGGGCCTCCTGCCAGCCCTCAGTCCTGTCTCCATGCTGGCCTGCCATGCGAGGGCAGCCTCCCCTTCTTGGAGGCCCGCTTCGAACCAGTCTCCTAGATCTGCACAAACCCTCCCTCCAGCCTGGGCATGACCATGTTGTAGGCCGTGCACACAATACAGCCTACCCTAGGGCTTGTCCCCTCTGTACGTGGACACCTCTTCCCTGGACTCACTCTGCAAAGGGGCCTTTAACTGAGCACCTGTGCTCTGTGCCCTCACAGGTCTCCCAGGCAGCTGCGGACCTCCTGGCCTACTGTGAAGCTCACGTGCGGGAAGATCCTCTCATCATTCCAGTGCCTGCATCAGAAAACCCCTTTCGCGAGAAGAAGTTCTTTTGTACCATTCTCTAACTCCGTGTGTGATGAAAACGCCTCCTTTTCTGACCTTCAAAGTCCCCTGTAGAGACCATGCATGCTCTAAGCCTTAGGGAGTGAGACCAACACCCATCCCTGCCCAGCCAACAGTGGCCGGGGCTTGTCTTATGTTTCCATCTGTTTTCTTCGTGGCATTCAATTTCATTTTTTTCCTTTTCATTTTCATGTTATTTTCATTATTGGCAAAGAAAATCAAAATGTTTATAGCCAAATAACAAATGTGCCATGTAAAAGTAAGTCTGGACTTAAGAGTTTAAAATTTTTAAACATCAGTTTCCAAGTTTATATCATATTAATACATTTCAGTGGATAATTTATTTTAAAAAAAAAACTATGCCTAAATATCCCTTATTTGCAATATTCAGTATCAAATTAGAGCATTTTGACCAACTGAAACATATAACGTTTTCATCTCCTTTCCTGGAGAAAGCAGCTGCAGAGGTTCTGTATTTCCTGCATTTCCATCATCCTAGTAAAAAGACAACAACCCACAGGATTGGAATGGTTTTCTTTTGTTTTTTTTTTGTTGTTGTTGTTGTTTTGAGATGGAGTCTCGCTCTGTCACCCAGGCTGGAGTGCAATGGCGTGACCTCAGCTCACTGCGACCTCCACCTCCTGGGTTCAAGCGATTCTCCTGCCTCAGCCTCCTGAGTAGCTGGGATCATAGGCACGCGCCACCACACCCAGCTAATTTTTTGTATTTTTAGTAAAGACGGGGTTTCACCATGTTGGTCAGGCTGGTCTCAAACTCCTGACCTCGTGATCCACCCGCCTCGGCCTCCCAAAGCGCTGGGATTACAGGCGTGAGCCACCACACCCGGCCGTGGAATGGTTTTCTTAGCATATCCTCCTGGGGCCGTGGCGCCCCGGCTGTGGGCCGTGGTGGATGTCCCTTGTTTCAGTGGTCCTACAAAGGTAGATGGTGGGCGGACACCGAAGTCAACTTGACTGTAAAAGTACCCCATACCGTTGACGCGCTGTGGCAGACCTGTGGGTGCGGTCTCCCCTCTCCAAATGCCACCTCTTCCTGCTCCCTCCTCTTTTGGCTCCTACTCAGTAGTTCCATTGTGGGCTGCAGTAATATAAGGACCTGTTCTGGACACAGCACTGGGCCCGCTGGGGTTTTAGTAGGGCAGCCCCTTCCCTGCAGGAGTGAGGCATGGTGACAGCAGTCCCCTATGTGCCCCCAAGTCATCTGAGCATTGGTGTGCATTAAGGTACTCAATCTTCCAACAATAAATACCATAAGTGCATGTCTGTTTTATTTTATTTATTTATCTTTTTGAGACAGAGTCTTGCTCTGTCGCCCGGGCTGGAATGCAATGGCACAATCTCAGCTCACCGCAACCTCCACTCGCAGGTTCAAGTGATCCTCATGTCTCAGCCTCCCTAGTAGCTGGGATGACAAGCACACGCCAACATGCCTGGCTCATTTTTGTATTTTTAGTAGAGACGGGGTTTCACCATGTCGGCCAGGCTGGTCTCCAACTACTGGCCTCGAGTGATCTGCCCACCTTGGCCTCCCAAAGTGCTGGGATTGCAGGTGTGAGCCAGTGCACCCGGCCGTATGTCTTAGAGTGAGGGGAAACTGAGGCACAAAGCGTTTATGTAGTTTGCCCAAGGTTACACATGGTAAGCAGAAAAACTGGGATTTGAGGGCAGGCAGCCCGGCCCCAGAGTTCCCTTAGCCCCCTGAACTGTGCTACCTTCCAGGTCTACCTGTTTGCAGGTAGGGAGACCCACAAACTATCATAACTGCACACCGTGAAGCAAACACCTTTGTTGCAGTAACCCGTGGCACACTTCACTTCCCACATTCTCCAGGAGGAAGCCGTATTCTGGTAGTTTAAGGAAGGTGATTCATGGATGCCCCAAGGAAAGGCTAGACATCGATGAATTAGCTCTTGGATTGTCTAAGATCAACCTGAAGGTCCTACCTAAACCAAACTCATATGATCCCGATGAAAGAGGAGAATACACAGTGGGAGCAGAGCTCTTTGTGTAAGTTTGTTCTATTCTGTTTATTTGGAAACTGCCTCTCTCCCTAGTTCTGAAAGAGACTTGCTGTGTGATAGAGAACAGGCCATTTGTGCCTGAAATGTTCTAACCTGCAAATTGGGTTTAATGGTAATTATCCTGCCTTTCTGTCTGGGAGGAAACAGAGATGCTACATAGATGAAAGCTCTGATTATCATTTAAAACAAATAAATGTACTAAATGCCGTGGTATAATATAGGGAAGAATGGATGACTTCAAAGAGACCATGGTTCCGTTGGAGGCATAAAATTGCCTGCAAAGAGGCAAATGTAATTTCCAGACCAATTAATGACTTGCTGCCCTCGTAAATGGATTTAGGACATCTTTGTTCCTTGCTTCTTTTGTTAAAACTCATTCTTAGTTTCATTATCAGCTCACTAATAATACCAGTGTTGTTAAGATGCTCAAACTAGAGCAGAATTGTATGCTGGATGTGACGCTAGGACCTCAGATCCTTTGATAGTGCAGTTATGACCAGGATCTCTTTATTCTGTGCTTCACGTCAACATCATTAACCCGATGAAGCGAAGCACAAGTCATAAAGGCACATCAGAGAAGCCGAGAAAGCGGGGCCGTACAGAGAGCATCAAAATCAGGTCAGAAAAATGCTGCTTTCCTCTTCCACCAAACCTTCTCCCTGTTGTTTTTACATGCCCCGTCCCTCCAGATTCAGCCTCCGTTTTGTTCTCTCTCCTTTTCCTTTTCCTCCTCTCTTCCTTACCTTCCCCTGTGAGATGCTTTTCTGTCCTTTTACTGCACCTCTTCCAGACCTATGGCATTTGGGGACGGGTCACCCTTCCTAGAGTGATCCTGAATCCAGCTGCCTCTTCTTTTTTTGTTTTTGTTTTTGTTTTTGAGACAGAGTCTCTTTCTGTCGTCCAGGCTGGAGTGCAGTAGCGCAATCTTGGCTCACTGCAACCTCTGCCTCCTGGGTTCAAGCGATTCTTGTGCCTCAACCTCACGAGGAGCTGGGATTGCAGGCGCCCGCCACCACACCCGGCTAATTTTTGTATTTTTAGTAGAGACGGAGTTTCACCATGTTGGCCACGCTGGTCTTGAAGCCCAGACCTCAAGTGATCCGCCCGCCTTGGCCTCCCAAAGTGCTGGGATTACAGGCATGAGCCACCGCGCCTGGCCTAGTTCCCTCTTCTTAGATGGAGATTTCTGCACATGAGCTGTGAGATCCACAGACATGTCACTGAGCTCCCCCACTCTGTCAGTGGAAGATGAATGGAATAAAGCCTGCTTGCATTGTGGAGTGCAGCTGTGGGGACAGTTGTCATTTTTGTGTTTTCAGCTTAACTGTCCAGCATCTCCCCTCCCTTCCTACAGCAGGGACATCATGCCTTAGATATAAACTTAGTGGTGTGCAGTACCCACCGTGGAAGCTGAAGAAGGGAAGTATTTCCTGTCTCTCAGGCACACCCCGCTTCCAGCCCCATACCAGTCGGGAAGTGGTCATTGACCTGGGGTGGACTACCTGGACCCTTGCTTGGGGCTATGAGCCTGGAGAATGTGACACAAATGAAGGGATGCTGAGACTCATTTCAAGGAAGCCACCGTGGTCCGGGGTTGGTAGTCATACAGCAAGGCAGGTGGGTAGGGCTGGCAGGCTGCAGGGATGGTGTGTCCACTGGTAGCAATGTCCAGGGATGGCAGCGTCCTGGGAATGTCATTTCTGCTCCACTCCTTGGACTCGCTGAGCTGTCTCCGCCTCCACCTATCTTCCTACAGACCTCCCTTCTAGTTTTCTGTCAATTCTTTGAGCCAGCAAACTCCATCCAGTACATTCTTTCTTCTTTCATGAAAGAGCTTGAGTTGGATGTAAATATATATGACCTAACAATTCCACCCCTAGGTGTATACCCTACAGAAATGTGTACATGTGTTCATCCAGAGACATGCTCTAAATCTTCACAAAAACACTCTCCATAATAACCCCGAACAGGAAAGCACCCCAATGCCCATGTTGGCTGGATAAGCACATTAGGGTATATTCACACGATGGAATCCCAGACTGCAATGGGAATGAGCTGCAACTCCACCCCCAACTTGGAGTGTATTCACCAACCCTAGTGTTGAACGAGATAAGGCAAAAATGCACCATAGGATTCCATTTATATAAAGTTTAAAACCCAGCAAAATTCATCCATGCGGTTGCAAGTAGAGATCAGTCCTAAGAAGACAGTAACCAGAAGCGGGCATGAGGTGGTGCTTCTGGGGTGTTCTGTTTCTTGATCTGGTTGCCGGTTACCTGGGTGCTTTCCGTTTGTGAACATTCTTGGAGCTGTACACTTTTGATCTGGGCACTTTTCTGTGTGTATGTTATACTTCAATAAAAAGTTGGGCTTTGTGACTAGCAATCAAGAATCCTACTTTTTTGGCACTTTGCTCAAATTTTTACTCCTCTTTGGATATCATTAACATTACATTAATGATAACTAACATCGCTAGTGGGGCATTTTAAGAGCATGCTTGACATCATTTTAAAATACAAACTACGATCCTCGGCTATCTGGATGGAGAATAAGCCATCAGCACCACACAGGTAGGGCCCTGTGAACAAGATGCGCAAATGCTGTGGAAATTGTGTCTTTTGGGAAGACAGTGAGGAATCCCACTGCGAGTTCCCACTTGATGGCAGAGATGTTGTCCTCTCAGGCTCTCCTGCCTTCTGACCATCAGGAATGGATGGAGGAGATAGCCTGCTGCAAAACCCTATCATCAGACACCACCGTTGGGGAGGGAGCCGCAGCACAGGCCCCAGGGGGCTCTCCTATGACACCTCTGAATGCAAGCTCAGATGCCCAGGTCGCCCAGCCCGTAGGTATTAATACACTGGGGCCGGAATACTGATGGCCATGCCTTGCTCCTTCCACTCTGCTCACATCCCTGGGGGCTCTGGCCCTGCTTCTGAACCTCGGATTGTTTCTGAGCATCTCCCAGGGCGTCTCCCTTGTTCTCAGCTACCAAGCAGCCTCTGCCATCTCCCTGTGGCAGCTCTGACATGTTGAGTTCCAGGGCAATCACAGAGCAGCTTCACGCTGGGACCCCACGACCATGAGTCAAAAGGGCTTGCCTCTGATCCTGAGCTCCAGCCCCCATGGAAGTCAACTACTAATCTGTGAATTGTCAGCAGCCCCCCTGCTGCTGGGAGCCAGGGGAGGGAGCAAACCAAAGGGCAGAAGGAAGTTTGTTCTGGTGACTCTTCAGATTTGAGATGACAATAATAAGAGTAATAACAAGCAACATTGATCTGATGTCAGAGGCATGTGAACCAAAAACTCCATCTTGAATAGGGGCTGGGTAAAATGAGGCTGAAACCTACTGGGCTGCATTCCCAGGCGGTTAAGGCATTCTAAGTCACAGGATGAGATAGGAGGTCAGCACAAAATACAGGTTGTAAAGACCTTGCTGATAAAACAGTTTGCAGTAAAGAAGCTGGCTAAATCCTAGCAAAGCCAAGACGGCCGCAAGAGTGACCTCTCTGGTTGTCCTCAGTGCTACACTGCCGTCAGCACCGTGACAGTTTACAAATGCCATGGCAACATCAGGAAGTTACCCTATATGGTCTAAAAAGGGGAAGCATGAATAATCCACCCCTTGTTTAGCATATACTCAAGAAATAACCATAAAAATGGGCAACCAGCAGCCCTCGGGGCTGCTCTGTCTATGGAGTAGCCATTCTCTTATTCCTTTACTTTCTTAATAAAGCAAGTTTATTTCACTTTGCACTGTGGACTGGCCCTGAATTCTCTCTTGCATGAGATCCAAGAACCCTCTCTTGGGGTCTGGATTGGGACCTCTGTTCTTAACACTGAGAAGAACGTGGATGATAGCAATCCATTAGACAGAATTATTCACACTTACATCTCCTCAGCTCTTCGGGGGGTAAGACGCCAGATCATGGGCGGGTTTTTTTTGTTTTTTGTTTTTTGTTTCTTGAGATGGGATCTCGCCCTGTTGTGCAGGCCAGAGTGCAGTGACGCCATCACAGCTCACTGCAGCCTCGAGCTCCTGGGCTCAAGCAATCCTCCAGCCTCAGCCTCCTGAGTAGCTGGGACTACAGGTGCATGCCACCATGCCAGGCTAACTTTTTTTTATTTTTTTGTAGAGACAGGGTCTCACTATGTTGCCTGGGTTAGTCTCGAACTCCTGGGCTCAAGCAATCCTCCCACCTCTGCCTCCCAAGCACTGGGATTACAGGTGGGAGCCACCGTGCACTGCCATGGGCTGTTTTCATGAAAGATCAGAGGATGCCCTCTACTCCCCAGCTTCCAGCCACATCTCCTGGGTGGCGCACTGCTCCGCCGTCCCCAGGATGTAGGCCCAGAGCAGCAGAGGTGGAGGATGAGCTGGGCGTCTGCCCAGTTTTAATGCTTTTGTTGATGTGTGGACAAAACAGGGACACACTAGTACCATCCTGCATTCCATCTGGTTTCTAGGAAAACCCTCACAACTTGCTTCAGTTTCAGCTATACATAATTTACTAACTTGTAAATGTTCAAACCCACATACAATCATTAACCGCATGCTGGTATTGTAGCCACTTACTTCAAAGATTCACTAGTGACCCAGGGTGGCCTCCAAGGCCCTGCCTGCCCTGACTCCTACTTACTCTCCAGCGTCACTTTCACACCTCACTCCCCCTGAAAACCCTGTACTCCATCCACGCTGGTCATGATTCAAACCCACCTACTAGCCATGCTCCCTGCTGCCACAAGGCCTTTGCACCTGCAGCTTCCTCTGCCTGGCACACTCTTCCCTCCTCTCTTTGCCAGATGGACTTATTTGGTAGATCTTGACTCAAGCATCACTGAAGACTCAAGCCTTCTCTGACCTCTCTGACGAGGTCAAATCTATCTCTAGGTTCTTATTCACTGCGAGGCTCTCCTTTGAGACCCGTGTCATGGTTGCAGTTGTACACTTGTGTAAGTGATGACTCAAGGAAGATCTGTCTCCCCCACAATGCCATAAACCCTCTGAGAGCCGGGGTTCTAGGTGTGAAAGGAAAAGAAATCTCCCCGAAATCACTAAGCCAGAGGGAAGGGTCAAGCTGGGAACTGCCTTGGGCAAACCTGCCTCCCACTCTATTCCTAAGTAAGATAGCTACATACCCACCCCACCCTCCACCACCACCACCCCCGCAAGCCCCGCACTCCCTCACAATTTGCCCATGAGGAAATTCCTTGCAGACAAAGGACAGGCAGAAGTCAAAGTCATCCCTCTGCTCATGTGAGACAAATGCACATCTGATTTGCTTGCTCTGCCCTATTGTTTCACTAAGCCAGACTAAGGCATAAGTGACTAGTCCTGTAAATCAGCAGTCCCAAACCTTTTTGGCACCAGGGGCTGGTTTTGTGGAAGACATTTTTTCCACAGATGTGGGGTGGGCGGGATGGTTTCAGAGGAAACTGCTCCACCTTGGATCATCAGGCATTAGTTAGATTCTCATAAGGAGCAATCTAGATCTCTCCCATGCACCGTTCACAATAGGGTTCACCCTCCTATGAGAATCTCATGCCACCACAGGTCTAGCAGGAGGTGGAGCTCAGGCGGTAATACTCACTGGCTGCTCACCTCCTGCTTCCTAACAGGCCACAGACCCATACTGGTCCGCGGCCTGGGGGTAAGGGACCACTGCTGTAAACTGTTTATTCAATGAAAGGCTAATCAGAAACTCAAAAGCATGCAACAGTTTGTCTCTTATCTACCTAGGACCTGGAAGGCCCCTCCCCACTTTGAGTTGTCTTGCCTTTCTGGACTGAACCAATGTACATCTGACATATATTGATTGATGTCTCATGTCTCCCTAAAATATATAAAATCAAGCTGTGCCCCGACCACCTTGGGCATATGTTGTCAGGAGCTCCTGAGGCTGTGTCATGGGTGTGTTCTTAACCCTAGCACAAAAAACTTTCTAAACTGATTGACACCTATCTTGGATACCATTTGGTTTATATGGTTTTACTCATTCCCAGTACCTAACATATCATCTGGCACATGATGGCAATCAGAAGGTATTATCTGAATAAATGCATGAAAGTTACTACTAGTCCTTTCTTGACATTAAGTGCTTCTCCTTAGGGGTGTGAATGAACCCTTAGAAGACTGAAATAGTAACCAAGGAAAGGGGGGCGGGGGAACCAATATTTGTTGAGTGCGAACATCATGTGCCAGGTCTTAAGCAAAAGAGTTAACTTCTTTTTTTTTTTTTTTTTTTTTTGGAGACAGAGTCTTGCTCTGTCAGGCTGGAGTGCAGTGGCACAATCTCGGCTCATTGCAACCTCCACCCCCCGGTTTCAAGCGATTCTCCTGCCTCAGCCTCTCAAGTAGCTGGGATTACAGGCACACACCACCATGTCTGGCTAATTTTTGTATTTTTAGTAGAGATGGGGTTTCACCATGTTGGCCAGGCCGGTCTCAAACTCCTGACCTCAGGTGATCTGCCTGTCTCGGCCTCCCAAAGTGCTAGGATTACAGGTGTGAGCAACTGTGCCCAGCCAGGAGTTTTTAAATCTTTACAAATTGCATTGTGATATTCTTTATCCTCATTTGGTAGATGTAGGTTCCTCATATAAATATGAGGAAGCTGAGTTTAGGCTGGGTGCAGTGTCTCACACCTGTAATCTCAGCGCTTTGAGAGGCCGAGGAGGGCAGATTGCTGGAGCTCAGAAGTTCAAGACCAGCCTGGTCAACAGAGCAAGACCCCATCTCTACAAGAAATTTAAAAATTAGCCAGGCATGGTAATGCATGTCTGTAATTACAGCTACTCAGGAGGCTGAGGCAGGAGGATCACATGGGATCAGGAGGTCAAGGCTGCAGTGAGCTGAGATCGTGCCACTGCACTCCAGCCTGGGCAGCAGAAAGAGATGCTGTCTCAAAGAGAGAGAAACAGAGAAAAGAAAAGAAACTGAATTCAAATTAAGTAACTTGCCAGATGTTAGACAACTACTAAGTGACTGAATTTGAATTTGAATCAGTCCACTTGACAACACCACTACCCTGCCTGCTGTCAGACTGAGGCATTTAAGAACCAAAAGGCTCGGCCAGCACGGTGGCTTACGCCTGTAATCCCAGCACTTTGGGAGGCAGAGGCAGGCTGATCACCTGAGGTCGGGAATTCGAGACCAGCCTGGCCAACATGGAGAAACCCTGTCCCTACTAAAAATACAAAATTACCTGGGCGTGGTGGCACATGCCTGTAATCCCAGCTACTCAGGAGGCTGAGGCACAAGAATCGCTTGAACCCGGAAGGCGGAGGCTGCGGTGAGCCGAGATCGTGCCATTGCACTCCAGCCTGGGCAACAAGAGTGAAACTCCAAAAAGTCTCAAAAAAAAAAAAAAAAAAAAAAGAGCCAAAAGGCTCTCATCTCCTCCATACCTCATTTAAAGAAAAAATGCAGGGCCAGGCACAGTGGCTCACGCCTGTATTCCCAGCACTTTGGGAGGCCAAGGCAGGCAGATCACTTGAGGTCAGGAGTTCGAGACCAGCCTGGCCAATATGGTGAAACCCCATCTCTAAGAAAAATACAAAAATTAGCCAGCATGGTGGTGCCTGCTTGTAATCCCAGCTACTTGGGAGGCTGAGGCAGGAGAATGGCTTGAACCCGGAAGGCGGAGGTTGCAGTGAGCTGAGATTGTGCTCACTGCACAATCTCTTTACTCTCTCCGATGGAAACTACGGCTCAACGTTCTTTACAGCCACAGGCTTTCACGGACTTCACGCTATCATTGGATCAACATTTCTCACTATCTGCCTTCTCCGCCAATTAAAATTCCACTTTACATCCAGCCACCACTTTGGCTTTGAAGCTGCCGTCTGATTTGACACTTCGTAGATGTAGTATGACTATTCTTACACGTCTCTGTCTACTGATGAGGATCCTACTCTTTTAGTATAAACAATACCATTGATTTCCAATCAGTTTCAATAATATCCAAGAGAGTAATCAACCTGACACTAGCCCTAGTAACCAACACCTTACTGGCCCTATTACTAATAACAATTGCATTGCTCCCACAGCGTAATACTTATATAGAAAAATCCAGCCCCTGTGAATGCAGATTTGACCCAATAGCCTCCGCCTGCCTCCTCTTTTCCATAAAATTCTTCCTAGTAGCCATCACATTCCTCCTTTTCGACTCAGAGATCACTCTACTACTACCCCTGCCATGAGCCCTTCAAATAACCAACCTGACACTAATAATCAGCGCAGCCCTTATACAATTACCACTTTAATCCTAGGCTTGACATGAATGAGCCCAAAAAGGATTAGACCGGGATGAATTGGTAAATAGTTTAAGCCAAAATAAATGATTTTTACTCATTAGATTATGATAGACCATGTTTACCAAATGCCCTTATTAGCACACACCATATCACTGCTAGGGATATTAGTCTATCGATCCCACCTAGTATCATCCCTGTTATGCCTAGAAGGCATAATACTATCAATAGTTATCATAAATACTCTTACAGCTTTAAGCATACATTTCACTCTAGCACCCATAATCCCCATCATCCTCCTAGTATTTGCTCCCTGCGAAGCTGCAGTGGGCTTTGCCTTACTAGTTTCAATCTCCAACACATATGGCCTGGATTACGTACAAAATCTAAATTTACTTCAATGCTAAAAATTATTATTCCAACAATTATACTGTTACCAATGACATGATTCTCTAAAAATTCTATAATCTGAATCAACATGATTATTCACAGCCTACTCATCAGCCTCGCCAGCCTACTATTTTTTAACCAATTCAGCGATAACCCATCCAACCTCTCATTAATTTTCTCTTCTGACCCGCTGACGTCACCGCTTCTAATCTTAATAGCCTGTCTACTGCCTCTTACAGTTTTTGCTAGAAGCCAATATCACCTGTCCAATGAATCACCCCCATGAAAAAAGCTCTATATTTCTATATTGATTTCCCTACTGACTTTTTTAATCAGAGCATTCACAGCCACAGAACTAATTATATTTTATATCCCCTTTGAAGCCACACTAGTTCCTACCCTAATTATCATCACCCACTGAGGCAACCAACCAGAACGCCTCAATGCAAGCTCATACTTCTATTTTACACACTAGTAGGATCCCTTCCTCTACTTGTAACACTTGTTTATACTCAAAATACCTCAGGTTCACTAAACATGCTAGTAATAATACTTACTACCCAAGAGCCATTAGCCTCCTGATCCAACAATCCTACATGACTAGCATGTATCATAGCTTTTATAGTAAAAATACCTCTATACAGGTTTCACCTATGACTCCGCAAAGCCCACGTAGAAGCCCCTATTGCGGCTCGATAGTACCTGGAGCAGGACTCCTAAAGCTAGGTGGCTACAGTATAATACAACTTACTCTTCTCCTCAATCCCCTAACAGAACATATAGCATACCCTTTCCTCATACTGTCCCTATGAGGGAGAGTTATGACAAGCTCTATTTGTCTATGACAAACTGATCTAAAATCATGTATTGCCTACTCCTCTGTAAGCCACATAGCACTTGTTATCATGGCTATCCTCATTCAGACCCCTTGAAGCTTAACAGGTGCAGTCACCCTTATAATTGCTCATGGACTCACTTCAGCCTTACTATTCTGCCTAGCAAATTCAAACTACGAGCAGGCCCATAGGTGAACCCTATTACTTACCGAACGCCTTCAAACACTGCTTCTGCTAATAGCCTCTTGATGACTTCTAGCAAATCTTACTAACCTTGCCTTACCCCACACCATTAATCTAGTAGAACTCTTTGTGACCGTGGCCTCATTCTTCTGATCTAATATCACTATTATGCTTATAGGACTTAATATACTAATTACAGCCCTTTACTCCCTAAATATGCTAATCACAACACAACGAGGGACACTTGCATATTATATTAACAGTACTAAACCTTCCTTTACACGAGAGAACACATTAATACTTATACATCTTGCGTCTATCTTCCTATTATCTTTAAACCCTAAACTTATTATGGGGTTTGCATGCTGTAGCTACAGTTTAACCAAAACATTAGATTGCAGATCTAATCATAGAAGCCTGCAACTTCTTACCTACTGAGAAAGTATGCAAGAACTGCTAACTCGTGCCCCCATGCCTAACAACATGGCTTTCTCAACTTTTAAAGGATTAGAGTCATCCGTTGGTCTTAGGAGCCAAAAGCATTGGTGCAACTCCAAATAAAGCAACAAACATGTATTCTTCCACTGCTATAACATCCCTAATCCCCTTAATCTTACCGATTACCATTACCTTAGCCAACCCCCGCAAAAGTTTCACACCCAAATTACGTAAAAACATCTATCGCATGTGCCTTCGTTATTAGCCTCATTCCTACAACAATGTTGATATGCACAGACCAAGAAGTCATTATCTCAAACTGACACTGAATGACCGTCCAAACTCTCAAACTCTCACTAAGCTTCAAGCTAGACTAATTCTCCACAATATTTATCCCAGTAACACTCACTGTTCATTACCTGATCTATTATAGAATTCTCAATATGATATATAAACTCAGACCCTAACATTAATCAATTGTTCAAATACTTATTTTCCTCATCACAATATTAATTCTGGTTACCGCCAACAACCTCTTTCAGCTCTTCATTGGATGAGAAGGCGTAGGAATCATGTCTTTCTTACTAATCGGCTGATGGTACGGCCGAGCAGATGCTAATACAGCAGCCAAGCAGTTCTGTACAACCGCATCGGCAATATTGGCTTTATTTCAGCTATAGCATGATTCCTCCTGTCCTCCAACACATGAGAATATCAGCAAAAAATAAATTCTAGACCCTACCCCCAACTCCCTCCCATTAATTAGCCTTCTCTTAGCAGCAGCAGGAAAGTCAGCTCAATTCGGCCTCCATCCCTGACTCCCATCTGCCATAGAAGGCCCAGCCCCAGTCTCAGCCCTACTCCACTCCAGCACTATAGTTGTAGCAGGAGTGTTCCTGCTCATCTGCTTCTACCCTTTAATAGAAAATAACCTATCAATCCAAACCTTTACATTATGTCTGGGGGCTATTACTACCTTATTCACAGCCACCTGTGCTGTAACACAAAATGATATCAAAAATATCATAGCATTCTCCACCTCAAGCCAGTTAGGCCTTATAATAGTCACAATTGGCATTAATCAGCTGCATCTAGCATTCCTTCACATCTGCACCCATGCCTTTTTCAAAACTATATTATTTATATGTTCAGCGTCCCTCATCCATAACCTCAGTGAAGAACAAGACATCCGAAAAATAGGAGGGCTATTCAAGACTCTACCCCTCACTTCCTCCTCCCATTTTATCAGCAGCCTCACAACTTACAGGTATGCCTTCCTCACAGGCTTTTACTCCAAAGACCTCATTATTGAACCTGCAAACACATCATACACCAATGCCTGAGCCCTTTCTATTACGCTTATTGCCACCTCCTTGACAGCTGTCTACAGTACCCATATTATTTTCTTCGCTCTAATAGGGCAACCTTACTTCATGACTCTGGTTATTATTAACGAAAATAACCCCTTCCTAATTAAACACCTAACAATCAGCAGCATCTTCGCCGGATTCCTCCTCACCAACAGTATTATTCCTGCGTCATCCCCCCAAACAACCATACCACTCCACCTGAAGCTCACAGCCCTAGGTGTGACCACCTTAGGCTTCTTACTAGCAATGGAGTTTAATCTCATAACTAATAACCTTAAACTAAAATACCCACTACAGACATTCAACTTCTCCAAAATACTAGGATTCTATTCAGTCACAATTCACCATACAACCCCCAACTCAAACCTATCCACAAGCCAAAATCTGGCTTCACTACTACTAGACCTAATTTGACTAGAAAAGTCTATACCAAAGACCATTTCACAAACCCAAATTTCAGCCTCCATTACTGTGTCTACTCAAAAAGGCCTAATTAAACTCTACTTTCTCTCTTTTTTTATCCCATCCCTTTTAACCCTACTCCTAATTATCTAATCTATTACCCCGAGTAATTTCAATCGCAACGTAAATAGTAACAAATAATGATCAACCAGCAACTACCACTATTCAACACCCATAACTATACAAGGCAGCCGCACCCACAGGATCCTCATGCAACAACCCCTCCCCCTCCCCCTCAAAAATCATCCAACTCTCTATGCTGTTAAAATCAATCATGATCCCCACCCCATCATGCTCAACTATTCACCAAACCGACAGCAACCCCTTTAATACTCATAATAGTAAAGCCCCTCAGATGTCAATATTTGACCCTCATGTTTCAGGATATTCCTCAGCAGCCATTGCCATGGTATAGCCAAAAACAACCATCATGCCACCCAAGTGAACCAAAAAGACTGTCAACCCCACAAAAGCCACACCAAAAATCAACACAATACCACAACCTACAGCACCACTAATAATTAGCTCTAGGCCCCCATAAATAGGAGAAGGTTTCAAGGAGAAACCTACAAACCCTATAACCAAAAGGACACTTAATAAAGATATAAAATATGCCATTGTTCCCACATGGACTATAACTATGACTAATGACATGAAAAATCATTGTTGAACTTCAACTAGAAGAACACTAATGGTCAATATCCGCAAAACACACTCGCTAATAAAAATTATTAGTTACTCACTAATTACTCATAGTGTGCACTCCAGCCTGGGCAACAGAGTGAGACTCTGTCTCAAGAAAAGAAAAAAAAAAAAGCAGCTACTAATTAACCATGAAAGCACACTTTTTTTTTTTTTGAGATAGGGTCTTGCTCTGTCTCCCAGGCTGGAGTGTGCACACTATTGACTTCATAGTATTGTTATACTTTCTTGCCATTTAAAAATCAAAAAGCACCTGCATTCTATAAATGCACCTTCACACAGTGTAGCTGTGTACTGGTTTCATTGTGGTAATTAAGGCCGGGGAGGGCCACTGCTGCTAAGAAGTGAAAGAACAGCTTGAAGAGGAAAGAAACATTGTCCCATGAAACACGAAGGTAACATGGTCCGTTTAGTTCACACATAAGGCCTGTTATTAGGAGTAGGGAGTATCTGAAGTGTTTCCGTGAGAAAAGAGACCTATTATTACCATGGCCAGGTGTGCGCACAAGTATGCATTCTCTGGCTGTTCTTTCCAAATCATTTGGTAAAATTCTCATTATTTAGTACATTTTATCTCATCTTTTCTTTTTCAGTTATATTAGACTTCATTCAATTTGATTTTACATATAAACCAATCCCTGGGGCAAAATAAAGGAATTCATTGGTTTGGACAAATCCAGTGCTATGCAGCTGATGCCACTCTTCTTTATTTATTTCTTTTTGCTTTGTTTTGTGTTTTTGAGATGGGGTCTCGCTGTGTCACCCAGGCTTCAATGCAGTGGCACGATCGTGGCTCACTGCAGCCTGTACCTCCTGGTCTCAGGCAATCCTCCCACCTCAGTTTCCTGAATAGCTGGGACTACAGGCACACGCCACCATGCCTAAGTTTTCTATTTTTTATAGAGACGAGGTCCCGCGATGTTGCCCAGGCTGGTCTCAAACTCCTGGGCTCAAGCGATCCTCCCGCCTTGGCCTCCCAAAGTGCTAAGATTACAGACATGAACCACTGTGCCTGGCCTTTGATGCTACTTTTCTAATACCTTTCTCCTGATCAAATAATTAGTTGTTTCATCTTAGCCCTTACTGGTGTGTAACATTTGGAAGTGCAGATCCACATTGGCACAGCTTCCTTTAGTTAAAAATTACGGCCGGGAGCAGTGGCTCACACCTGTAGTCCCAGCACTTTGGGAGGCCGAGGCGGGCAGATCACCTGAGGTCTGGAGTTCGAGACCAGCCTGGACAACACGGTGAAACCCTGTCTCTCCTAAGAATACAAAAATTAGCTGTGCATGGTGGTGCGCATCTGTAGTCCCAGCTACTTGGGAGGCTGAGGTAGGAGAATCACTTGAACCTTGGAGGCGGAGGTTGCAGTAAGCCAAGATCGTGCCACTGCACTCCAGCCTAAAATACAGAGTGAGACTCTGTCTCAAAAAAACAAAACAAAAAAATTACATAGGAAGAAGAAAATCCAAGAGGAAAGAAGACACCTTGCTTGATAGATAAATAAAAATTGAGCCAGGAGGTATTTAGGAGGCCAAAAACCAAAAATCAGAATGGCAAAGAGCCTGGGCTTTGGAATCAGAGATGCTCGGGTTGAAATCCTGGCTCTGACATCTACTGGCTTTGCCACTGTCCAAAGCTCTCATTTCTTCATCTAGTAAAATGAGGATAATAACACCTATTTCACAGGCAGCTCTTGATGATTCATGAAATCACATAAGTATTTAACACATGCCTGGGACATAACACATGCTCAGTAAATAGGCATTAACTGTATTTACCCTATCCATAATTATTGTGGTAACGAGTCCACACAAAGACTCAGAATTTCAGATAAGAGTTGGTCATTTGCCGAAGATGCATGGAGGGAAGGAGAGACAGTAACACTTACCAGCTAGTAACTGGGTGCCCATCGCGCTCCAGTTTCATAACACATCAACATCACAGTCTGTTTATACAGGAGTACAAGCTAAGACCCCCTCACTCCAGGAACTGAATTATGAAGAAAATAACTCATGATATGCCGGAAAGATAGCACTTTCCCATAATCAGCACCAGAAGGGGAGGTCAAGTCTGTAATGAAAGCTCTCAAACTTCAAAATTGCTATTTCAAGAGGTGATGATAAAAGCCTTTCGAAGGACGGGGCACAATGACGCACACCTGTAATCCCAGCACTTTGGGAGGTTGAGGCAGGAGGAGGTCAGGAGTTCAAGACCAGCCTGGCCAACATGGCGAAACCCCGTCTCTACTAAAAATACAAAAATTAGCTGGACCTGGTGGTGCACACCTGTAATCCCAGCTACTCGGGAGGCTGAGGCAGGAGAATCTCTTGAACCAGGAGGCAGAGGTTGCAGTGAGCCAAGAATGTGCTACTGCACTCCAGCCTGGGCAAAAGTCATTTTGGAGGTCGAAGTACTTATTTGGGAAAACATTCAGGGTCTAGGAAGGGGCCACAGTATTAACCCAATATTAACCATTAAATATCTCTCTGGTGGCTGGGACTTGACTTTGTTTCTAACCACAATTGACCCTTGAACAATGCAGGGATTAGGAGCACCAACCCCTTTCCCTCCTCCTAGCAGTCAAAAATTCACTTATAACTTTTTTTTTCTTTTCAAGATGGAGTCTTGCTCTGTCACCCAGGCTGGAGTGCAGTGGCTCGATCTCGGCTCACTGCAACCTCCGCCTCCTGGGTTCAAGCAATTCTCCTGTCTCAGCATCCCGAGTAGCTGGGATGACAGGCACACGCCACCACGCCCAGCTAATTTTTGTATTTTTAGTAGAGACAGAGTTTTGCCATGTTGGTCAGGCTGGTCTCAAACTCCTGACCTCAGATGATCCACCCGCCTCAGCCTCCCAGTCCTGGGATTACAGGCGTGAGCCACCGCGCCCAGCCACACACAACTTTTGACTCTCCAAAAACTTAACTACTGATAGCCTAGTGTTGACCAGAAGTCTCACCAAGAATATAAACAGTCAATTAATACATTTTTTATGTCATGTGTATCATATACTGTATTCTTACAATAAAATAAGCCAGAGAAAATAAATTTTATTAAGAAAACTGTAAGAAAGAGAGCCAGGCATGGTGGCTTATGCCTGTAATCCTAGGACTTTGGGAGGCTGAGATGGGAGGATAGCTTGAGCTCAGGAGTTGGAGGCTGCAGTGAGCTAGGTTGTGCCACTGCACTCCAGTCTGGGTGACAGAGGAAAGGACGAAAGAAGGAAAGAAAAGAAAGAGAAAGAAAGAAAGAGAGAGAGAGAGAGGGAGGGAGGGAGGGAGGGAGGGAGGGAGGGAGGGAGGGAGGGAGGGAAGGAAGGAGGGAGGAAGGAAGGAAGGAAAGAAAGAGAGAAGGGAAAGGAAGGGAAGGGAAAGGAAAGGGAAGGGAAGGGAAGGAAGGAAGGTCATAAAGAAGATAAAGTATATTTACTATTCATTAAGTGAAAGTGGATCATCATAAAAGTCTTCATCCTCATCTTCATCTTCACATTGAGTAGGCTGAGGAGGAAGAGGAAGAGGAGGAGTTGGCTTTGCTGTCTCCGGGCGGCAGAGGTGGAAGAAAATCCACATATAAGTGGACCCACGCAGTTTAAGCCCCTGTTGTTCAAGCCTCAACTATACTAACAAGTAGTGCTGTCTTTTTGTGGTGAGCTGATTTCTCTGTTATATTCCAGTTTTCACCTCTGCCAATTTTGAATGAGTAAGCAGTGGACCAAGATACCAAAGGCTGGGCCCCTCCTCTACAAGGCCAGGTCATGCAGGGACCTAGAAGGGAAAGAGGGGGAGAGCCGGCTGCTGTCACTCTGATGGAGCTGGTGAAGGATGTCCAGCTGCTGTCCCAGGCTAACGCTGGGGAGAAATCACTCTAGACAGCCATCGCGGGGCCAGCCAGAGATAGTCAAAAGGGCATGGTCTTAGCCAGTATACACTGCTATAAAAAACAAATGCCATAGACGGAGTAGATTTTTTTTTTTTTTGAGATAGATTCTCACTCTGTCGCCCAGGATGGAGTGCAGTGGCATGGTCTTGGCTCACTGCAACCTCTGCCTCCCAGGTTCAAGTGATTCTCCTGCCTCAGCCTCCCGAGTAGGTGGAATTACAGGTGCAAGCCACCATGCCCAGCTAATTTTTGTATTTTTAGTAGAGACGGGGTTTCACCACATTGGTCAAGTTGGTCTCGGACTCCTGACCTTGTGATCCTCCTGCCTTGGCCTCCCAAAGTGCTGTGATTACAGGCATGAACCACCGCACCCGGCCAACTGAGTAGCTTATACACAGCAGAAATGTATTTCTCCCAGTTCTGGAAGCTGGAAGTCTGAGATGAGGGCACCAGCATAGCTTCTCGTGAGGCCTCTCCTGGGCTGCAGATGGCCCTCTTCTCACTGTGTTCTCATGTGACCCAGAGCAGAGGGGAGCAAACTGCCTCAGGACTCTTACAAGGGCACTAATCCTGCCTTCCTGACCTCATCTAATCCTAATCACTCCCAAAGGCCCCATTGAATTTTAGGGGGTGGGGTTTCAAGAGATGAGTTTCAGGGAGACACAAACATTCAGTCTATAGCAATGGCTGCAGGAGCTTGGCAGTGTCCAGGCACAAATTATTCATTTAGTTATTGTTTTGGGCTGAATTGTACCTCCTTTCCAAATTCGTATGTTGAAATCCTAAACCCTAATACCTCATAATATAACCATATAGTAGTTCCCCCTTATCTGCAGTTTCACATTCTATAGTTTCCATTACCCATGGTCTACTGCAGTCCAAAAATATTAAATGGAAAGTTCCAGAAATAATTCATACATTTTAAATTGCATTCCATTCTGAGTAGCATGATTAAATCTCATGCCATCCCACTCGGTCCCACCCAGGATGTGAATCATCCCTTAATCCATATAGCCACCCTGTAGATACCCCATGCTGTTAGTCATTTAGGAGCTGTCTTGGTTATCACTGTTGTGATATTATGGTGCTTGTATCCAAATAATTCTTATTTTACTTCATAAGGGACCCAAAGCACAAGAGTAGTGATGCTGGCATATTGTTAAAATTGTTCTATTTTATTATTAGCTACTGTCGTTAATCTCTTACTTATCATAGGTACGTATGTATAGAAAAAAACATGGTATATATATATATATGGTTTGGTACTATCAATGGTTTCACGCATTCACTGGGGGTCTCGGAATGTATCCCCACAGAAAAAGAGAGGCTACTGTGTTTGAAAATAGGGCCTTTAAAGGGATAATAAAGCAAAAATGAGGTCATTAGGGTGGACTTTAATCCAATATGACTGGTATCATTATAAGAAGAGGAGATGAGGACACAGACACACACAGAGGGAAGACCATTTGAGGACATGAAGAAAAGACAGCTGTCTGCAAGCCAAGGAGAGAGAGGCTTCAAAAGCAACCAACCCTGTGGTCACCTTGATCTCAGACTTCCAGCCTCCAGAACTGTAAGGAAATCCATTTCTGTTGTTTAAACCATCCAGTCTATAGTACTTTGTTATGGCAGCCCTAGCAAACTAACACAATGATCAAATCCTTATACAGAGCTTACCAGGTGCCAATCCGTCTTCTACGTACTTTGCAAATATCACTTTATATATGCTCATGACAAACCTGTGAGCACTAGGATTAAACCCATTTTTAAAGATGGCAAAGTGAGGCATGAGAGATTAAGTGACTTGCCAAAGTCACATAAGTCGTAACAGGTGAAGCTGGAACCAGGCTATCCAGTGCCAGAGCACAGGCTCTTAACCACTTTGCTATGCTCTCCCCTTGGAGGAGGTGGGAAAATAGTTGATACTCAAGGTTCACATGAAAACAGTGAGCAGCTGGGGAGGACGACAGAGGAGTTTGAGGGCACCTTGGTGGGTGATGCTGGAGAATGCTGGCAGGTTGGCAGTCATCCTGGGGACAGGAGACATAGAGATGGGAGAGCATGAAAACACACATTCACGTAGCTGGGACAAAGCCACTGGGAAGGCTCACAGGGCCAGGCCCCAGCCCCATGATGGGCCTGCTGGCTAGAGCAAAATCTGGGTTCCTATATTGAGTCTGGAGAACTAGCACTTTCCAGAAAAGAATTTGCAGTAGAGACTGTTTTATTAATAGTGGTTTTAGTACATTTTCTATTGCTTATAACAGAATATCTGGAACTAGGTTACTTATAAGAAATTACATTTATTCCTTACTGTTCCAGAAGCTGGGAAGTCCAAGGTTGAGGGGCTGCATCTGGTGAGGGCCTTCTTGCTGGTGGGGACTCTCTCCAGAGTCCTGAGACAGCTCAGGGCATCATATGGCGAGTGTCTGAGTGTGCTAGCTCAGGTCTCTCTTCCCTTCTTATAAAGCCACCAGTCCCACTCTCATAACCCATTAATCCATTAATTTATTAATTATTAATTAATTAATGGATTAATCTATTCTCAAGGGTAGAGCCCTCATGACCCAATCACCTTGAAAAGGCCCCGTCTCTCAATAATCCCACACTGGGGATCAAGTTTCAACATGAGTTCTTAAGGAGACAAATATGCAAATCATAGCAGAGACCATAGCAGAAGCCTAATTCTGCAAACCAGAACACACAATGGGCAGCAGAGCTCAGGCCTGGGAGGTCCAGGGCAGGAGGCTTATGAGCAGGAGAGGTGGTGGGCTGTGGTCAGAAGGACATTGCAGATGCTTAGCCAGGGTGACGGCCACTGCCTCCCACCTAGATTGAACTCGTCAGCAGTGGTGGAGACAAACCTTTCCAGTGGGGCCAAGGTTGCTTGAGCACAAGTTGGATTAGTAATAACGTTACTGACCACATGAGACTCCGGAAGCCCAACTCTGGCATGCTGAAGGATCAGGAGCAGGGAAGAGTGGGAGAAGCTCTTCTTATAAAGTCACTAGTCCGGCCGGGCGCGGTGGCTCATGCCTGTAATCCCAGCACTTTGGGAGGCTGAGGTGGACAGATTACCTGAGGTCAGGAGTTTGAGACCAGCTTGGCCAACATGGCGAAACCCCATCTAAAATACAAAAATACAAAAATTAGCCGGGTGTTGTGACGTGTGCCTGTAATCCCAGCTACTTGGGAGGCTGAGGCAGGAGAATCGGTTGAACCCAGGAGGCGGAGGTTGCAGTGAGCCAAGATCACGCCACTGCACTCCAGCCTGGGCAACAGGGTGAGACTCTGTCTCAAAAAAAAAAAAAAAAAGCCACCAGTCCACTCTCATGATGGTAGTCCTGCATCCTCTGGGGATGTCCCTCTGCCTGAGAAAGAAGGGGGACCTATGTATATTAATTTTCCTGAAACTTGTTGCTGAGACCAGACGCAATTCCAGTGATAGAAAAAGGCCTGGAAAAGGTTTACTACTGCAAGGGAAAGAATTCCCAGAGGCAAACAAGGTACTTGTTGACCTCAGAGCATCTTGAAGGAGAAGGAGTCTCAGTGGCCATAGAGTCTGCCTTCTCAATCCAGGAAAGGAGTTTCCAGTTCCTTTGAAAACCATTGTCTTCTTAAATGTTGACATGTGGTATTTTGTAAACATCATCAAAGCAGGCTATTACTTGTTTCCGAAGAGGGCAATCCTTTGAAGAGATGAACTTCCAAGCATCTTGGATGAAGAATTCTCATATAAACTCATCCTCGTTGCAGAACCTGTGATGGTTTTGTGATCAATTGTGCATTAATAACATTTTCACTTCCTGTCACTTAAATGCTGATAAAGTTAGATTAAGATATACATATTCTGACCAGGTGCAGTGGCTCATACCTGTAACTCCAGCACTTTGGGAAGCCAAAATGGGAGGATCACTTAAGCCCAAGAGTTCAAGAACAGCCTGGGCAACAAAAGGAGACACCATCTTCACACACAAAAAATTTTTTTAATAGCCACAGGCCCGGCGCGCTAGCTCACACCTATAACCCCAGCAGTTTGGGAAGCGGAGGTGGGTGGATCACTTGAGGTCAGGAGTTCAAGACCAGCCTGGCCAACATGGTGAAACTCCATCTCTACTAAAAACACAAAAATCAGCCAGGCATGGTGGCACCCACCTGTAATCCCAGCTAGTTGGGAGGCTAAGGCAGGAGACTCACTTGAACCCAGGAGGTGAAAGTTGCAGTGAGCTGAGATTGTGCCACTGCACTCCAGCCCCAGTGACTGAGTTAGACTCCATCTCAGAAAAGGAAAAAATAACCGGGCATGATGGCATGTGCTTATAGTCCCAGCTACTTGGGAGGCTGAGGTGGGAGGATTACTTGAGCCCAGGAGTCTGAGGCTGCAATGAGCCATGATTGGGCCACTACACTCCAGCCTGGGCGCGAGAGCAAGACCCTGTCTCAAAAAACTAAAAATTAAAAAAAAACACATATTCCAATAATCATGAATCTACTTTATTAGTAAATAAAGACCCCCAAACCTATTGAGAGTAAATGAACTCATTTAAGAGAATACTGAGCTTAAGCTTTGCCATTATATTTAAATACACATAAGTGATTAATTCAAAGACCTTGTCTCAAAAAACTAAAAATTAAAAAAAAACACATATTCCAATAATCGTGAATCTATTTTTTCAGTAAATAAAGGCCCCCAAACCTATTGAGAGTAAATGAACTCATTTAAGAGAATACTGAGCTTAAGCTTTGCCATTATATTTAAATACACACGTGATTAATTCAAAGACCTTGTCTCAAAAAACTAAAAATTAAAAAAAAAAACACATATTCCAATAATCGTGAATCTGTTTTTTCAGTAAATAAAGGCCCCCAAACCTATTGAGAGTAAATGAACTCATTTAAGAGAATACTGAGCTTAAGCTTTGCCATTATATTTAAATACACGTAAGTGATCAATTCATTCATGATCAGATTGAGTCAGATATTTATAATATATATTATATTTTTAGCCCTCAGGTGACAGCAATATATTACCAAGAGTTTATTTGCTCACCAAAGTATTAACTTGCATATAATTCATGTGAATTTGGGACACATGTTTTACTTCAACACAGCTATTTAGGTTTTTTAGAGCATGTTTGTTTACTGAACCACCAAATGCTGTAATAAACTATCCTTACAGTCTTTGCCTTAATTGGGAGAAAAAATAATAGAAATCTCAAAGAAGAAATTCTTTCTAACACCCAGCCAAATGAAATATATATAACATAAGTAATCAGCGCTAGATTTAGAAGAATTCTAATTTTATAACATATGTGTCACCAGGGTATGCCTTATAAACAACCTAAGACCACACATTTCCTATCAGTTATGAGCTGGCTGTTTGAAGACTAAATAATCTAGCTAAGTAATTTTTTTTTAAGTTTGTTACTGGCTCATGCCTGTAATCCCAGTACTTTGGGAGGCCGAGGCGAGCAGATCACCTGAGGTCAGGAGTTTGAGAACAGCCTGGCCAACATGGTGAAACCCCATCTCTACTAAAAATACAAAAATTAGCTGGGCCTCATGGCAGGCGCCTGTAATCCCAGCTACTTGGGAGGCTGAGGCAGGAGAATCACTTGAACCTGGGAGGCGGAGGTTGCAGTGAGCTGAGATTGTGCCACTGCACTCCAGCCTGGGCAACAGAGCAAGACTACCTATCAAAAAATAAAAAATAAGTTTATTGCCAAGGCATGTGCTAGATCTGGCTGGTCCTGTGTTTGAAGCTGTGTCAGAATGGGGCACATGAAACAAAAAGGCACTGGACCTTGTAAAATGAGGGAAATACTAAGAGCAGCTCACAAGCACGAAGTATTTACCATGCACGATGAAACTGTCACAAAATTCTCCACAAGGTAGGTACTATTATTGCTCCCATTTTATAGATGAGGAAACTGAGCTTGATGTTCTGGTAAATAGTAATGCCCAGGTTGGGGAAAGGGGCAGGCACTGATTTGCAGCATTTGCCAATTTCCATGGTGTGAATACTTCCAATCAAAGCCAATTTCAAGCTACCAATGTAACATCAACAGGCTTGCAACATTCCTGATGTTGGTCTGATTCCCTAGCCAAACAAGTCACTTGCTCAAGTTCCTAGTCACACAATTAGTAAATACTGCCAATCAAAGTAAATTTCAAGCTAATCAGTAAATACTCCCAACCAAAGCCACTTTCAAGCTACCATGGTAACATTTGCAGGCTTGCAACATTCCTGATGTTGACTTGATTCGCTAGCCAATCAACTCACTTGCTCAAGTTCCCAGTCACACAATCCGTAAATGGAGGAAACTGTGATGTGAACCCAGAAAGCCTGATTCAGAGCCTGTGTTCTCAACCACTGTCATCCGCTTTTAGGAAGAATAATCCACGAGGGGAAAAAGAACAGAAAGGAGACCCCAGAGCTCCCAGGGCTGCACCTGAGCAAGAGTAACTGGGTCAGGGCTAGATTAGAGTCAGACTGCTTTAACTGAAGGCTTCAGTAAGAAAAGGAAAGGAAAAGACAAATCATTTAATATCATGAACTCTAAGCAAAAGAAAAATTGACAAATTTGACAGCTCTTCGGTTTGAGGAGATGCTATATCTTTTGTTTCTGGTTTTTTGTTTGCTTGTTTGTTTGTTTTTTGAGATGGAGTCTCACTGTGTCGCCCAGGCTGGAGTGCAGTGGTGCAATCTTGGCTCACTGCAACCTCCACCTCCTGAGTTCAAGCGATTCTCCTGCCTCAGCCTCTCGAGTAGCTGGGATTACAGGCACGCACCACCACCCCCAGCTAATTTTTGTATTTTTAGTGGAGATGGGGTTTCACCATGTTGGCCAGACTGGTCTTGAACTCCTTACCAAAAGTGATCCACCTGCCTTGGCCTCCCAAAGTGCTGGGATTATAGACATGAGCCACCGCGCCTGGCCTGTTTCTGATTTTCTAATAAAAATATCTGCTCCAGAGAGATCCTTAGGTGGTGGGGCAGACAATTAAGCTATCTTTACTTGGTGGAATTGACACAAATTCCTTTAACCTCTCAGAAATGGAGCACAATCAGGAACAGCAGCACTCCACAAACACGGGCCAGGGCAGGGGAGGTCAGTGTTCTGAAACTTTCTTCTTGGCTAATCCTCATTCCTCTTCATTGCTATCAGCAGGATTTTTTGTTTTGGTTTGGTGTTTTTTTTGTTTTGTTGTGAGACAGGGTCTCGCTCTGTTGCCCAGGCTGGAGTGCAGTGACATGATCTCGGCTCACTGCAGCCTCCACCTCTGGGGTTCAAGCAATTTTCCTGCCTCAGCTTCCTGAGTACCTGGGATTACAGGCGTGCACCACCACACCCAGCTAATTTTTGTATTTTCAGTAGAGATGGGGTTTCGCCATGTTGGCCAGGCTGGTCTTGAACTTCTGACCTCAAGTGATCCGCCTGCCTCGGCCTCCCAAAATGCTGGGATTACGGGCATGAGCCACCATGCCCGGCCCCTGTCAGCAGTTTTATGGAATACTTTGGGAAGCATAAAAAGCATTGTTTCCCCAAATCAACTTATGAAGTTCAGACATTTACCACATTTTTATTTATTGTCTACTATGAGGGCACCTTGGCACTCACCAGCAAGGACTGGCATAGTTCCTTTATGTGAGTTTCGGGGTGAAGACTGGCAAGCCTATGGGGGAGTGTGGTCAGGGCTGTCCTGGGAGTGGGTGCAGGGGACCCAAGGGCATGTATAGGAGATCAGCACCCACACTGCAAGGAGTTAGGAGGTGAGGTTTTCTAAACTGAGACCCAGAAGTGGATTCAGGTTTCATGAGGCCTCATGAAATCCAACCCTAAGAAAATGAATACCAGATTACAAAATTGGGTGTCAGGGTTTGGCACAGACCCTGAAGCTTAAGCTTCATTAGCTTCATTGTAAATGCTCCATTTCTGCTAAGACCTGAAAATAAGTAGGAATTAGCCAGGCCAAAGAGCTGTAGGAGCAGAGAGCAGGCAAAGGACTTGATACATGCAAGAACAAGAGAGTGCTATTTCCTGCCTCCAACGTGGGAGTCGAGCTGGCAGAAGTGGAGTGGAGTTCTGACCAGATCAAAGGCAACCCTCAGAGCAAGGCGAGCTGGGCCGAGACAGGAGCCCAAAGAGGCTCTGCAAGGATGCAAAAGGAAGATCCAAAGGACTTTAAAACAGAGAATTGGAGAAAACAGGAGGTAGAAGCTAGTCTTCAACCCAGGGAACTGTTGAACCAAGACCCCTTTTATAAGGATTCTAGGGACCAGTGAGAGCAGAGTGAGCCATCAAGATTACTATTGTAGCCTGGGCGTGGTGGCTTACGCTTGTAATCCCAGCACTTTGGGAGGCCCAGGTGGGCGGATCACCTGAGGTCAGGAGTTTGAGACCAGCCTGGCCAACATGGTGAAACCCCATCTCTACTAAAAATACAAAAATTAATTGGGCATGGTGGCCGGCGCTTGAAGTCCCAGCTACTCGGGATGCTGAGACAGGAGAATCGCTTGAACCCAGGAGGCAGAGGTTGTAGTGAGCCGAGATCGCGCCAATGCACTCCAGCCTGGGCGACAGGAGAGAGACTCTGTCTCAAAAAAAAAAAAAAAAAATTGCTATTGTAATCAGCACAATGTATTATAATACCGAGATTCTCTCTTTTTGACCATGACCTACAAAAAGAAAAACATTTTATTCCACAGCTGAGGACCTACATAAAAAAGTTTCAGAAAGCATCATTACCTCTACTATTTGCAAGGTGCCCTGAAGTTTTCTATACTGTTCTATTTCCCTTGTTGAATGCCGGGCATGGTGCACCAAATTGCTTTCACATGCACCGAAAAATCCTGACCTGCAGTTTGGAAACCACTTTTGCATAATGTATGATTATGATGTCTGGCTGCCTTTGAATTCTCCAGAATCTTATTTACACCTAAAGCACTAGTGGCCAATGTAGATTTTGCTGGAGACTTTACAGGGGTGATGGAAGAGGGTTTTATGTCACCCACAGTTTTATAAGTTCCCTTGGACATGTCTGCCCCCACCAACTGAGGGTGCTCCTCCACCCCACCCCACTGCAGGGCCAGATCCCTTCTGCCCTCCCTCCCCGCCTCCCAGGAACAGATGCATTCCTTTTAGTAATTCACACAGGGCAGCACAGTTGGTTTCTTTCAGCACAATGCACCAATTACTTAACAAGTCATGGAGCCCTAGCTTCGGAAAGGGAATATCAAAGCACTCATCCAACAAAACTGCCTCTTGCAACCTGCTAAAAATTATGATTTCTTCCATATCATTAAATATATCTATTTCCCCTACTGGACTGTGAACAACTTGAGAATAGGGACTTGAGGTACTCAATAGATGTTGAACCAACGTATATGAACGAGTTAGTCAATGAGGTGGGTGCTATCCCCATTTTACAATGAGGAAACAATGGCTCACAGAGATGTGATTAGAACTGTTCAACTGGTGAGCTGAGAACCAGCCTTCAAACGCAAGCCCATGCAGACAGGATTCCTTTAAACCAGACACACAAACAGGTTCTTTCTTTTGTGTGTCCCTGAAGAATCCCCAGAAATGGACCAATGTTGGGGAAAGAGCAGTATGGATCTTACCAATTCTGAGAGGTGTGTTATAGTTTATGTGTTTGCTATTTTAGACTAAGCCAAAGCAAAAAGGTCTTCAGGAAGGATTAACCAAAAGCCCTTCAATTCTATTTCCATTTGATGGGTAAGGGCATTGGGGATATCTCATCTGTAAGATAGCTTTTTTAAACTTAATGAGTGGCCTTGATTACTACGGCAACAAGTGTGTTGATTCTTTTCCAAGTGAGGTTGCTATAGTTTATATCTGAATGAGAATGGCATGATGGTAAGAGATTAAGTGTATCTTGGCATTTACAGCCAACTTACACAAACATATAAAGACCTACATCAAATATACTGCAAGTTTATAAAACCAAAAGCTCGTAATAGTGCAAAAATGTGTTTGGAATTGTTGAGTTAGGCCATCATACAGAATCTGCTTTTCATTTTTCATGATGCTCAGTGGTTTAGCAGACTGAGTTAGATATATAGGCTAGATATATAGAAATTATATATCTAGATATATAGGCTAGATATATAGAAATTATATATATAGAGTTAGATATATAGAAATTTTACAGAGAAAATGTTCAATTCTAGAATAGATCACACAGCAACATGCAGCTGTATTAAAGTACATTTGTGGCCAGGCATGACGGTTCACGCCCATAATCCCAGCACTTTGGGAGGCCAAAGGGGGCAGATCACTTGAGTTCAGGATTTCGAGACCAGCCTGGCTAACATGGTGAAACCCCTGTCTCCACTAAAAATACAAAAATTAGCCCCAGGCCTGGTGGCCCACATCTGTAATTCAGTTACCCAGGAGGCTGAGGCAGGAGAAGCACTTGAACCCAGGAAGCAGAGGTTGCAGTGAGCTGAAATCACGCCACTGCACTCCAGCCTGGGCAACAGAGTGAGACTGTCTCAAAAAGCAAAACAGCCGGGCGTGGTGGCTCACGCCTGTAATCCCAGCACTTTGGGAGGCCGAGGCGGGCGGATCACGAGGTCAGAAGATCGAGACCATCCTGGCTAACACGGTGAAACCCGGTCTCTACTAAAAATACAAAAAATTAGCCGGGCGTGGTGGCGGGCGCCTATAGTCCCAGCTACTCGGGAGGCTGAGGCAGGAGAATGGCGTGAACCCGGGAGGCGGAGCTTGCAGTGAGCTGAGATGGCGCCACTGCACTCCAGCCTGGGCAACAGAGCGAGACTCCACCTCAGAAAAAAAAAAAAAAAAGCGAAACAAAAAATAAATAAATGTAGTACATTGAGATGAACCATTCAGAAGAGTTACTTATGTGACATGGCCATTCTGTCTTCTGTCTTCTCTCAAAGTAGTTTCATATTCTATTAACCTCATCTCAGATGATTACCACGACAGAAAAGAGCCTAAAGTTAAGAGCTGGATAAAACATTGAAGTAACTATTTAACGGCTCTGAAGTCCTTCAAAGCCGCAGAATTGTTCCTATGACACTTTATTCCCCACTCTAGTTCACACTGCAAAAACTCACCATGATGAAAGATAGTATGTGAACCCAGCAATCCTGCTTCTAGGTATAACTGGAAAGAAACCTTCATTTGCACATGGCGGTGGACATACAAATAAGTATGCAGGCCGGGCGCGGTGGCTCACGCCTGTAATCCCAGCACTTTGGGAGGCCGAGGCGGACAGATCGCCCGAAGTCAGGAGTTCGAGATCAGCCTGGCCAACATGGTGAAACCCCGTCTCTACTAAAAATACAAAAAATTAGCTGGGCGTGGTGGTGCACAGCTGTAGTCCCAGCTACTCGGGAGGCTGAGGCAGGAGAATCGCTTGAACCAGGGAGGTGGAGGTTGCAGTGAGCCGAGATCGTGCCACTGCACTCCAGCCTGGGTAACAGTGCTCAAAAAAACAAAGCAAAACAAAAAAAAAAAACTCACCATGATGAAAGATATTATGTGAACCCAGCAATCCTGTTTCTAGGTATAACTGGAAAGAAACTTTCGTGTACACATGGCAGTGGACATGAGAATAAGTAAACAGGACTGTTACAGTGAGCAATGGAAATACCTCAAAGAGGCAACAAGCCCAGGTTTAGGACACAGATTCTGATGTGACAGGTGTGTGACCTGTCTAGGTCACTTACTAGCTTACTAGCCTTGTGACCTTGAGTGGGTAACTTAGCTTCTCTGTGTCTCAGTTTCCTCATCTGTAAAATAAGGAAGGCAAAACTACTACCTGTTATAAAGATACATGAATGAGAATTTGCAAAGCACTTAAATTGAGCCTAGAGGATAAAAAATATTATATACATGTTCATCAGTAGAAAAATGCAAAAATCGACTGTGGCCCATTCATCCAATGGTGCAATCTCACATTAGACGGTAGTTAAAAGGAACCCATTAGGTCTACATATACCAAATAGGACAAGTATCAAAAATACAATGTTGAGCAAGAAGACCAAGTATGTAGAACAATATATATAAAGTATGCTATTCAGGTGAATTTAAAAAAACAAAATAATAATACTCTCTCTCTCTCTCTCTCTCTCTCTCTCTCTCTCTATATATATATATATATATATATATATTTTTTTTTTTTTTTTTTTTTTTTTTTTGAGACAGAGTCTCACTCTGTTGCCCAGGCTGGAGTGCAGTGGCATGATCTTGGCTCACTGCAACCTCCACCTCCCGGGTTAAGTGATTCTCCTGCCTCAGCCTCCCAAGTAGCTGGGACTACAAGCTCCCACCACCATGACCCGCCAATTTTTGTATTTTTAGTAGAGACAGGGTTTCGCCATGTTGGCCAGGCCAGTCTTGAAGTCCTGACCTCAAGTGATCCACCTGCCTTGGCGTCCCAGAGTGCTGGGATTACAGGTGCAAACCACCATGCAAACCACCATGCCCAGCCAACACTACATATTTTTTGCATAGGTGTAGGTACATGTATACATATATGTATGTATATGTTTTTACTTTTTATAATTTCAACTTTTTAGATTCAGGGGTACATATGCAGGTCTGTTACATGGGTAGAGTGCATGATGCTGAGAATAAGTATTGGCTTGACGGCCAGAATATTATGCTTTGCTGTTTAGATATTGGAACAATAGCTAGGATAACAATAGAGAAGACTAGGGCTAGTACCCCTCCTAGTTTATTGGGAATAGAGCATAGAATTGCATAGGCAAATAAAAAGTCTCATTCTGGTTTAATGTCAGGTGGTGTGTTGAGGGGGTTTGCCACAGTGTCATTATCTGGGTCTCCTAGTAGGTCAGGTGAAATAGAACTAATATAAGTAGTAATAGTAGAAGGAGAATTAGACCCAAAATGTCTTTGATTGTGTAGTAGGGATGGAATGGAATTTTGCCAGAATCTGATGAAACTCCTGACAGGTTGTTGGATCCTGTCTCTGGAAGAAATAGAGGGTAGATGGCTACTAGGTCCATGATAATGAAAGGTAAGATGAAGTGGAAGGTGAAGAATGGTGTGAGGTGGCTTTGTCAACTGAAAAGCCTCCTAAGTTTATTGTACCAGGCTGGTGCCAATGTATGGAACAGCTGACAATAGATTTGTAATTACTGTTGCCCCTCAAAAAGATACTTGTCCTCATGGTAGGACACAACCTATAAATGTTGTTGCTATTACTATAAATAGTAACATAATACCGATGTTTCTGGTTTCTAGGAAAGTGTAGGACCAGTAATATAAGCCTTGTCCTACACGTAGAAAGCAGCAGATGAAAAATATCGATGCCCCTTTGGCATGTAAATTTCGGCTAATTCAGCCATAATGCAAATCTCAGCAGATCTGTGTGGCAGAGAAGGATGCAGGTGTTGTATGTGATGTACAGTGTATAGTTAGAAAGAGTCCCATGATGATTGTAGGCATAGACACTTAAAACTGAGCTGAAATTTCATCATGCAGAAATATTTGATGGTGCCAGCAGGTCAATGATATGGTTTGGCTCTATGTCCCCACCCAAATCTCACCTTGTAGCTCCCATAATTCCCACGTGGTGTGGGAGGGGCCCAGTGGGAGATGATTGAATCATGGGGGCAGGTCTTTCCCATGCCGTTTTCATGATAGTGAATGGGTCCAGATACCTCCTGCTGGAGGTGCACCACACCTATAATCCCAGTGCTTTGAGAGGCCGAAGTGGGAGGATTGTTTGAGGCCAGGAGTTCCAGACCAGCCTGGGCAACATAGGAAACCTCATCTCTAAAACAAACAAACAAAAACACTAGCCTGGCATGGTGGCGTGCCCGTAGTCTTAGCTAATCAGGAGGCTGAATGGGGAGGATCACTTAAATCCAGAAGTTCAAGTGTGCAGTGAGCTCTAATCATACCACTGAACTCCACGCTCCAACCTGGGCAGCACAGTGAGACTGTCTCAAAAAAAAAAAAAAAATCAGTGCTGAGAGTTGGTCCTGAGTTTTCATGTGGTTTGTGACACAGCAGTAGCTAATAACCGTCTTTATGTTCTTCATTCCTCCTGCTCACAGAGGAAAGGGGAGACTAACATTGTCTCGAGATGGAGTCTTGCTCTGTCACCCAGGCTAGAGTGCAATGGCGCGATCTCGGTTCACTGCAACCTCCGCCTCCCAGGTTCAAGCGATTCTCCTGCCTCAGCCTCCCGAGTAGCTGGGATTACAGGCGCATGCCACCATGCCTGGCTAATTTTTTTGTATTTTTAGTAGAGATGGGGTTTCACCATGTTGGCCAGGTTGGTCTCAAACTCCTGACTCGTGATCTGTCTGCCTCGGCCTCCCAAATTGCTGGGATTACAGGCATGAGCCACCGTGCCAGGCTGAGACTAACATTTTCTAAGGACTGACTAATGCTGAGTACTTTCACATATGGCGTTAGATTTAATTTTTTTTTTTCATCCTATGGGGTGGTCATTATTTTTCACATTCTGCAGACAAGGAAGCTAAGGCTCAGGGAAATTAGATAGCTTATCTAAAGTCAAAATTTTAGTAAGTGACACAGTTAGGATTCCAAAGCAAGTCTTCTGGCTTTTTGCAAAACCCCATTTTCACTGCTGAATACCTTATAAAGATCAGACAAATTCTCTGGGGTATCCAATTGCCATCTCCACTGAAGATAATTATAGTTTTTGTTTCCAAACACTAGTTCATCAGGGGAAAGAGACATTCACCTCGTTGTGTATAAACCAGGAGGAAAAACTGTTTATTAGTGTGTGTGAGTAGAATCTAGCCCTGTCATCACAGAGGAAATGCCCCATAATACTTACATCAATATGAATGATGAACCCTATGCATAATCAGCTATTTGGAATTGCCCTTTTATCTTTTAAGATTAAAATATCCTGTCCTCTGACTCAGAATGGCTCTAAACTTTTCTTGCTGAATTAATGTAGCATCATTTTGAAAACATAATGCCATCCTCTCTGCTAGCATTTGAAATTAATTTCTTATACAACAGGCTCTGGGCCGGGCGCAGTGGCTCACGCCTGTAATCCCAGCACTTTGGGAGGCCGAGGCGGGCGGATCACGAGGTCAGGAGATCGAGACCATCCTGGCTACCACAGTGAAACCCCGTCTCTACTAAAAATACAAAAAATTAGCCGGGCGTGGTGGTGGGCGCCTGTAGTCCCAGCTACTTGGGAGGTTGAGGCAGGAGAATGGCGTGAACCCAGGAGGCGGAGCTTGCAGTGAGCCGAGATCGTGCCACTGCACTCCAGCCTGGGCAAGGGAGCGAGACTCCGTCTCAAAAAAAAAAAAAAAAAAAACAGGCTCTGCAATTTGGCACAAGACTTCTCTGCACACAGTCTAAAACTACTCTGCAAAGTTTAAAAGCTTTGCAGAACTTTTAATGGTGTATCTTGGGCCGATATAAAAACAATGTGGATTGTTAAAGAGAAGACAAACATGTGAGAGAAACTTGTTTTTCTTTTTCTTTGATCTCCTAAAAGCAAGATCACATCTCAACATACAGAATGAACAAGGGGAACAAGGTTTAAAAATCAGAGGAGAGGAGGGTACGAACAAATCTCTTTCTGTGTGCATAAACTCAAATCACGCTATTAAGTTGTGAAAAGAAATATTAAGGACCAATCCTTTTAGAAACCTTTCAGATGAGCCAAAGTGGGAAAAGTCTAGAATCTGTCCTTGAAAGGGATTTAGTATATACTCAAAGTAGGACTGGGGTGATTGAAGACCATTAAGCACTAATGAGAAAGAGACCAAATTTTACTTAGGATTTTTTAAATTTGCTCATTAGAACAATATTTATTTATTCATTTATTTATTTATTTTTCATTGAGACGGAGTCTCCCACTGTTGCCTGGGCTAGAGTGTAATGGCGCGATCTCGGCTCACTGCAACCTCTGCCTCCCTGATTCAAGTGATTCTCCTGCCTCAGCCTCCTGAGTAGCTGGGATTACAGGCGCCCACCACCATGCCCAGCTAATTTTTTGTATTTTTAGTACAGACAGGGATTCACTATGTTGGCCAGGCTGGTCTCGAACTCCTGACCTCGTGATCCACTTTCCTCGGCCTCCCAAGGTGCTGGGATTATGGCCACGTATTTCATTTTTTAAGAGTGTCTCTTTTAAACGTGATTCACTTTATGGAATCCTACTGCCCATTAGAGCATGGAAAGCTCCTTTTGTCCATGTCACAGGGCGAATTACTTCATCGTGTTGAATATACTGAGTGTCCCAAGAAGTTTTTCTTCCCAGTGACATGGCTGCTTTCTTCCTTGATTACTGTCTGGATTATTTCTAAGCCTTTGAATTGACCTCTTTGCTTTCAATACACCTCACCTTGATTCATTTTACACACAGTCATTGGTCATTCTTGGTTTCACTGTCACCAAGTCTCCTGTTAGGTATGCAAGAGCTCTGTGTGACAGCCTTTACTGTAATCAGCCTGTGGGGCACAATGCAAACAAATCGGCATTTCCCTACCTACCCACTGAAACTGAGCCACATGGAGGGGCTGTGTGGCTGCCAGTCAGATGCATTAAGGCACCAGGGGCAGGAGTTTCAAATGTGAGCTGCGTATGGGAAGGCCCAAGAACAGTCTCTGAATGCAGAACAAGTTGATGGAGACTGCTGGAGAGGAAGGGATAGCAGTGATTACTTATTTAGCCGTGAGGTCTCCTGAGCGACACTGGGAGGCTGGCTCATTGTTAATTTTTTTGTTTTACTATAATTATTTATAATTTTAGTAAATTGTAAGTAATTTACTAAAGTAAATAATTATAAAAATGCAAATCTGGGTTTTGAACTCAAATTTGTCTGCTGGACCTACAGAGAGTAATTTGATTCTATTTTTCCTCTTACAGAGATTTCTGATTTTTAAATGTTATGACATTAGATACTGCCAAGATTGCCTGAATAATGTGTGCTCTTTCACTTTGCCATTTTGAACTTCTAAAATTTTAGACCTTTGGACACCCAAAGAAGTCTTTAGGTTTCTTTTTAAAAAGAAATTAGGTGGTAATGCCTGCAAACCTGCCAGTTATTCTTTCCAGGGGGAAACCTACTTGTGTTTGTTCTTTGTGTACCTTCCCCCACTAGAATGGAAGCTCCGTGAAGACAAGAACCAAGCTTGTTTGGTTCTCATTTGTAACTTTGATGGTTCTAGGCATGCAAAGACACCGAGTAAATGTTTGTTGAATGAATGAATGAATGAATGAATGAATGAATGAATGCTATCCAACTTGGGCAAATTTTTGCAATACGTAAACTTCGTTTCCATGGTGATATCATACCCCATTTTTTTCCCTTCCAGTGGTCTTAATCATTTCCAGCACCCACCTCCCGCCAGCTCTCCTCCCCATACTCCTCTCTTTATATTTCTCAAACTTACTACAAACTTTAGCCATTGAAATATGCAAGAACCAAGAAGTCAACCAGCTAATGAACAAATTAGTCTGTGATACTGGCAGAAAGCCAGGACTTCCCTTAATAATAAGGGCATTTTAGGAAGTCTTATAGAGACAATGAATGCTTCTCATTTGTGATCTCATTAGTGACTCTAGTTTTGACAATGGCTGGCCAAAGGATACTTTTCAGCTACTATAATCTACTGTAATGTACCAAGTCACCTATATGGAGTAGACATCTTCCAGGACTGAGGCCACATTCCATGATATTTGATGTGATTGATATTGTGGATTGCTTTTAGAGTTTGCTTTACGCTAATGAGGATAGAAAGAGGAAATAAAGAAAGCAACCGAGTTCATTAAACGAAAAAGGCAGAGGACTCTCAGGAGAAGGAATTTGAATTCTAGCACTTATCCAAACATGCAAAGAACCCCCTCTGGTCCCCAAATTTCCTTGTAAGAAAACTGCTCTCTGTGTCAAGCAGTGCCTAGAATATTGGATCTGAGACGTAAAGTTGAAGAATTACTGAATTAAGGTATGACCAAGGCTTTTTTGGTTTTGTTGTTTTAAAGCAATTCTTAAAATTAATATTTTTCCTTAATCATTTGAGATATATTTTCCAAAGGTTGAGGTTGCATATGCCACATTTTAATCTGGATGTCTTCATATTCATGTTTAGGGAAAAGAATGAAAATAACATGTATAAATTTTACCAATATGTTTTCTCATTTAATATTCAAAACAATCCACTGAAGTATATCCTGTGAGTCTCATTTCACAGATTAGGAATCTGAGACCTAGAGGTAAAGTGCTTGCCATGCTCAAGGCCACACAGCTAATAAATGCAAATCTGAGTTTTGAACTCAAATTTGTTTGCTGGATCTGCAGATAATATTTTGATTCTGTTTTTTCTCTGACAAAGATTTCTGAATTTTAAATTTTATGACATTAGATTCTGCCAAGATTCCCTGAATAAGGTGTGCTCATTCACTTTACCATTCCGAACTCCTAAAACTTCTTATCTTTAGACATCTCTAGTCCTATCTTTGATAACAAGAAATTTGCTGTTATGTGTCATAGGTTTTTGGTTTGTTTGTTTTGTTTCTTTTTTTGAGACAGAGTCCCACTCTGTTGCCCAGCAGGCTGGAGTGTAGTGATGTGATCTCGATTCACTGCAACCTCTGCCTCCTGAGGTTCAAGTGATTCTCCTGCCTCAGCCTCCTGAGTAGCTGGGATTACAGGTGCACGCCACCACGCCAGGCTAATTTTTGTTATTTTTTTTAGAGATGGCATTTCACCATGTTGGCCAGGCTGGTCTCGAACTCCTGACCTCAAGTGATTCGCCCGCCTCAGCCTCCTGAAGTGCTGGGATTACAGGCGTGAGCCATGGCGCCTGGCCTATAGTTTTTTAAAATGTTTATAATCTTCAATAGCAAGGTCCCCCAAAGTCTACTGAAGCTAGACTTGACTGAAAATTTATATACACAAATAAGAAATGTGTGCATATAGCAATGCGTGTGCTAAAACTGAAGGGATAGGCCAGACACAGTGGCTCACACCTGTAATCCAAGCACTTTGGGAGGCCGAGGTGGGCAGATCATTTGAGGTCAGGAGTTCAAGACCAGCCTGGCTAACATGGTGAAACCCCATCTCTACTAAAAAAAAATACAAAAATTAGCCAGGCGTGGTGGTAGGCACCTGTAATCCCACTCGGGAGGCTGAGGCAGGAGAATCTCTTGAACCTAGGAGGCGGAGGTTGCAGTGAGCCGAGATTGTGCCATTGCACTCCAGGCTGGGCAACAGAGCGATACTCTGTCTCAAAAAAAAAGAAGTGATAAAACTAATGGAAATTATTCTGTATTAGGAAGAAGATGGAAGTTCATCATTTTAAAGATAAAATGGCTCAGTGTGAAAATGCAACATATTTTATAATTACCCAAAAATTATTTTTTCTTTGAGAACCAAGAGATATTCTTTTTCACAAAAACGTGTATGAATTTTCCCAAAGTAAAATCTAAGTTGAAATCTCCTATTTTGAGTTTAAGCCTGTGGAGCTAACCTTTACCAATCTTAGTTGCCATCCAAAATCTCTAATTAAATTTTTCTCAAAAACCAAACCAAACCAAACCAAACGAGGCAAAAAGAGGCAAGCTCTTTACTGCCACCTACCGTCAGAAAAAAATAGCCCACTAAGTGTAAGGATAAATGACTTGCATGGAAAACTTGAGGCGTGGACAGGGAGACCATATGGTCTGGTTTGCAGATAGTTCCTGTTGTCTTGACATTTATCCATTTTAGCATTTGTCCTGCCCCCTTTTTCTCTCAAAACCTTGATTTAGATTACAAATTATATGGTTGTTACTGGCTGTTTCCATACATCACTTAAAATACTCAAGTCAGGCTTATCTCTCCCATCTAAATGCACACACACACTTCTTCAATCAGAGCCCTCTTCCCAGCTCCCATTCTTTCTCGTTCTGATCTTCATGACCAAACTTCTCAAAATAGTAATGCACACACCATTTCCACTTCATTACTTCTCATTCACTCCTCAACTCACAGTACTCTCCCTTCTGCTCTACCTATTCCTCGAAACTGCTAGTTACCTGGCCACTCTCAAATCAGCAGACACATTTCTGCCTTGATCTTGCTTCATATGTTGTCAACAGGCATGAGCCACCACGCCCGGCTAATTTTTGTTTTTGTTTTTTTTAGAGACAGTGTTTCACCATGTTGGTCAGGTTGTACGCTGTCGTCTGCACTCCCTCTGCCATCTTACATCTTGTCTTGGGTGACACATCCTCCTGTTTTCCTCCTATAGTCTGGATTCTTGTCAATGTCCTTTATAATTTTAACTTCCTCTGCTCACACCTAAATGTTGGTGTCTCCCTTCATCATCGCTCTACAGACTATGCCTGGGTAATCTCACCTTGTGAGTTCTACTGCAATCAACTTGCTAAAGATTCCCAAATTCATTGATTCACTCATTCATTCACTGTTTGTTCAATAAATATTTATGGAGCACCTACAAAATGCCAGTGACTTCTCCAGGTTCTGGGATATATCAGGGAACAAAACGGGAGGGAAAATTTCTGCCCTGTGTAGACAGTAAGACAATAAACCGCAAACAAAATAAATAAGTAAATTGAACAGTATGTTTAAGAGTGATAAGTGACACATGGCAGGTCGCAGTGGCTCACGCCATTAATCCCAGCACTTTGGGAGGCCGAGGCAGGCGGATCACAAGGTCAGGAGTTTGAGACCAGCCTGACCAACATGGTGAAACCCCACCTCTACTAAAAATACAAAAATTAGCTGGGCATGGTAGTATGCACCTGTAATCCCAACTACTCAGGAGGGTGAGGCAGGAGAATCGCTTGAACCCGGGAAGTGGAGGTTGCAGTGAGCCGAAATCACACCACTGCACTCCAGCCTGGGCAACAGAGTGAGACTGTCTCAAAACAAAACAAAACAAAAAAAGAGTGATAAGTGATACAGAATAGAGTAATAGAGATTGGGGATGGTGGAGCAGGGTTTTTTAATAGAAGGGACAGGGAAGGCCTCATGGAAAAGGCAACATTTTAGTTGACTTGAAGAAGAAGAAGGAATAAGCTATGAAAATATCTGGAAGAAGAGCAGAAGAAACAAAGTGCAAAGATCCCGAGGAAAGAATGTACCTGTCCTATTCTCGGGATGGAAAGGAGGCCAGGATGGTTCTGGAGCAAACTGAATGAGAAGGAGGGGAATAGAGGATGAGGTTAGAGGGGTTCAGGCCTGCAGATGACAACGGCCTGCAGATGACAATGGCCTACAGATGACAACGGCCTGCAGATGACAACGGCCTACAGATGACAACGGCCTGCAGGCCACTGTAAGGGACTCTGGTTTCCCTGTGAGAGAACAGAACTGGAGAGCCATTTGCAGGGTTTTAGGTAGAGAAATGACATCATCTTTCATGTCATTTAACAGAATCGCTGTCTTAGGTCAGGTTCCCATGGAAACATACTCTGAAACACGGGTTGTATACAGGTTTACTGGGGACTGCTCTTGGGAATGCCGGTAAGGGAGTGAGGAAAGCAGAATTGGGCGGAGGGAGAAGTTGGACTGTGACGCAGTTGCAAGAGAGGCCACGGGATGGCTCTTCAGAGTTACCCACATCTTTACACCGTTCCTTGAGTAGTCACTGGATGCAGGTTGTCTCTCAGGAGGGAGCTGTACCCTTGGGTGAGGCAGCCACCTTCAGCCAAGGGCAGTTCCCAGAGAGAGAGATTCAACTGAGACTCCTTTGCAGTCAACATTTTCCATCCTGAATTGGGGAGATGCACCACAGCATCTTAGAGTCGGCCTCTGCACCCTCAGATAGATCAACTCCATATAGAAGCACCCAGGATCCCTCTTCCATCTTCTGGTTGGCTCTTGCTACTGCAGCTTTTCTCAAGACTTGAATGATACTCATCATCTCCTCCGCTACTCCACACGGTAGATTTTTCCCCACCCCCAGTCAGTCTATTCACCACACAGCAATGTGAGTGTTCCTGCTAACACATAAGTCAGATCATGTCACTCCTTTGCTTAAAACCCACCATGTAGGCTGGGTGCGGTGGCTCATACTTGTAATCCCAGAACTTTGGGAGCTGGGCCGGCGGATCACTTGAGGTCAGGAGTTCAAGACCAGCCTGGCCAACATGGTAGAACCCCATTTCTATTAAAAATACAAAATGGCTGGCCATGGTGGTGCACGCCTGTAATCCTAGCTACTCTGGAGGCTGAGACAGGAGAATTGCTTGAACCCAGGAGGCAGAGGTTGCAGTGAGCTGAGATCGCGCCACTGCACTCCAGCCCAGGTGACAGAGCAAGACTCTGTCTCAAAAAAAAAACAAAAAAACAAAAAAACAAAAAAAAACAAAACCCCACCATGTAACTACTCCCCTTTCATTTCGGAGTAAAAGCCCAAATCCTTATCATGATTTATATCATATTCTTGCTAGGGACTACATCATCCCCGATTATTCTCCTCACCACTCACTCTGTTCCTGTTACACCAACCTCCCTCCTTGAGCACATTTTTGAAGGACAGTTTGGCAGTGTCTATTTTCCTACTCTTCTTGGAGAAGCCCGAGTCAAGATGCTTTCAGACTGAAATGTTAATGATTCTGTCTGCTAGTGTAAAGGTTGTCTTCTGCAAAGATTATCTGGTCGTCATATCACAGGCATTTAATTTAAAAGAATTCAACCATTGGCTTAAAAAAGAAAGAGAAGCAATCATTTAAATAGCACGCATTACTAGGGCAGCGTGTACCCACCCGAGGCAGAGTGCCAGGAGTCCTGAAAAGAATATCTGAATGATTTTAAGGTTTCCCAACTATTCACCAAAAAAAAAAAAAAAGTGAAATTTGTTGATTAAGTGACCAGGCAAGATGGTTTCCTTGAGGAAGAAAGTGAACAACTAAAGCCTGACGAGAAACTTTAATGATAAAGAATTAGAGGGCCAGGCACAGTGGCTTATGCCTGTAATCCCAGCACTTTGGGAGGCTGAGGTAGAAGGACCGCTTGAGGTCAGGAGTTCGAGACCAGCCTGGGCAGCATAGTGAGAGCTCATCCCTACCAAATAAGTAAATAAGAATTAGAGGAATAAAAAAATACTTTTACAGAATTACATATACAAAAACATACATACTATATATTTTAAACTAAGAGATGTTCAAGGGCAATTTTTATTTCACTGGCTGATCGAATTGGGCCCTGTACTAGAGAAAAGAGAACCAGCAAGAAGTGACCCTCATATGGAAGGGATGAGAAGGCGCTTGGAAGTGTCATTAAAGGGCTGGGGTAAGGCTTAAGGCAAGAGATAGCCAGTAGGGACCTCTATTGGGGGACCATAGGAGCAAGTTTATCTCATATCAAGTTAAAAGTTTTCTGTCTGTATCTTCTCAGGCTAAATTCTTGTATTTATTTATTTTTTTGAGACGGAGTTTCACTCTTGTTGCCCAGGCTGGAGTGCAATGGTGCCATCTCGGCTCACTGCAACCTCCGCCTCCTGGGTTCAAGCAATTCTCCTGCCTCAGCCTCCCGAGTAGCTGGGATTACAGGCATATGCCACCACTCCCGGCTAATTTTGGATTTTTAGTAGAGATGGGTTTTCTCCCTGTTGGTCGGGCTGTTCTGGAACCCAGACCTCAGGGGATCCGCCCGCCTCAGCCTCCCAAAGCACTAGGATTACAGGGGTAAGCCACCGCGCCCGGCCAATCCTTTTACAAGTCTGTTAAACATGCCAGCCATGTCTTAGCTGTGACTGGGGGATAAACGGAGGCACTATGTCTGTGTTTCGGGTCAAAGCAGAAGAATCTGGGGCTGTGGCCTCGAGAAGTGGTTATGAGTTGAGGTGGTTGATAGAGAACACTAGAGCAGTCTGGAACAAGAGGTGGCAACGAGACTGATGATGACCTCGTGGAAAAGAGAACACGCCTTGGTACTTAGAAATATTGAGAGAGGGGACTAGAATTTCTGGAGTTATACAGGTTAAGGGGACAGATTGCATACATGGGGATTGAAAAGGAGGGTGATTCCTCCCTTTCCATCACTGGAAAAGTAAAGAAATTTGGAAAAATTCAGAATATATATACAAGAAGAAATATCTGGGCTATAGTGGCTAAGTCTGGAAAGAAAGATTGGGGTGGGCTGAAGGATTCTAACATTATATATTTTGTTTACACTTGTATTACATTACTTGTGTTTGTTATGATAACCATGCATTAGTTTTTTATTAAACATAAGGTTTAGGGGAAAGTCGAATAACTATACAAATTATTATAAAATTCATTAGAAATAGGCCGGGCTCACGCCAGTAATCCCAGCACTTTGGGATGCCAACGCGGGTGGATCACCTGAGGTCAGGAGTTCAAGACCAGCCTGGCCAACATGGCAAAACCCTGTCTCTACAAAAATACAAAAATTAGCCTGCTGTGGTGGTGCGCTCCTGTAGTCCCAGCTACTCGAAAAGCTGAGCCAAGACAATTGCCTGAAACTGGGAGGCAGAGGTTGCAGTGAGCCCAGACCTGGATGACAGAGCGAAATTCTGTCTCAAAAAAAAAAAAAAATATATATATATATGTGAGAAATAAAGAGTATTGAGAGGGAGAATTGCCCTCTGGATTACAAAATATTATACAACTAGGATCATTAGAGTATTACGGTACTGATGAAAGGACAGATGAATGCAAAACTGTGGCTTGGAAACAAATACTATTATGTTAAAAATTTTTAATAAATTGAGGTGATGTCATAAACTAATAGGGAAATAATGGGCCAGGACAATAGTTAGCTATATGAAAAAAATTAATTAATTTTGAGATCCTTGCATTACACCATATTCCTAAATAAATTCCAAATGGATTAAAACATTAAATAAAACAAACAAGAATATTGACCAGATCTCACGATCAGAATCATCCTAAAATATGGAAAAAAATTAAATATTGATCATTTGAATTTATAAAAATTTAAAGTGTTTTTGTGTCCTAAAAGTTATAAAATTAGAAGGCAAGAAAACTGAGGAAAAATAAAGGGCTTATACAAATGGATAAAAGGAAGATACATGACTAATTAACAAAAGAAATAGAAACAGCTAACGAACATAAGAATATTCAATCTCATTGATGAAAAGTTTTGTCCTTTGAATTAATAAAGAACTTTTTTAAAATATGAGGGTGAGATAAGAGAAACATATTGAAGGCAGACATACACATTGAAACAATAGCAGTATGAATAAAGCGGCTTAAAAATAATATCAGAAAAGGAAATTATCTGAAATGTGGAAAAAGTTTTGTGCACAGAAGTGCCAGTATTACTTATTATAGTGGAATAATGGAAACAACCTGTATGTCCAATAATACGGGACCAGATAAGAAATTATAGTGTGGACAAATGATTAAGTTATATTTTCTGAGACTACTAATTAAATATGGGAAGGCTTATAGGTTAGGTGAAAATAGTTGGATATAAATTCTAACTTACAGTATGAATGGCAAATTTTTTTAATGAAAAAACTTTTAAAAAATGTATGAATTGTATGTAGTATGATTTCTTATATTCTTCTGTTTTCCAAGATCCTTTTCATAATCATGTATTACATTGGTAATCAGAAAAAAAAATTCTTCTTTAGAGCCTTCACAATAAAGTCCAAATTCCTTAGCAAAGTTTATGATTACAACCTGGCCTCTGCCTTCTGTTCACCTTCTCATCATTGCCGTGTTCCTAACTTGCACTAAGGTCATACCAATTGCTTACATTTCCCTAATTGCCGTGTCATCACTAGCTCAGGTTTATTTATTTTATTTTTTATTTTTTTGCCTACAGTGCTCTTGAATGTCCTTCCTACTTTCTGGCCCTGTTAACTGGCCACTTTGACTTCAAGCCCCGGCCCTGTATTTTCAAGAGATAGCCTCCTCTGGGGACCCTTGAGTAGAGTTAAATATAGTTGGCCCTCCATATCCCTGGGTACTGCATCTATGAATTCAACCAACCTCAAATTCAGGAAAAAAGCAAACTTGAATTTGCGCATGCCATTGAATCCACGTGAATGAAGTGATGCGTAGACATCATATTAGGTGTTATAAGTAATTTAGAGATGATTTCGCGTATATGAGAGGATGTGTGTATGTTATATGCAAATATTATACCATTTTATATAAGGGACTTGAGCATCCATGAATTTTGGTATCCATAGAAGGTCCAGAACCAATCCCCCATGAGTAGAGACAGCTGTACCCCCTGCTTTGTGCTGCTCTAACATCCTGTGCATTCCTTTCTCAGAGCACTTATCACATTGAATTGCCATCATGGTTACCAACCACCCTAGTTTGTCTCTCCCTAATTCTAATTCTGTTAACTTGTTCCTACTTACCCTATGAGCCCCTTGAGTGCACAGACTGTTTATATCACTACTGAGTTTTTTTATTCTTTCCATTACACATACTGTCACTTTTACCTTTTTTTTTTTTTTTTAGAAACAAGGTCCCACTCTGTCACCCAGACTGAGTCCTGTGGTGTGATCATAGCTCACTCTAACCTTGAACTCTGGGGCTTAAGTGATCATCCTGCCTCAGCCTCCCGAGTAGCTGGAACTATAGGCGTATACCACCATGCCCAGCTAATTGTTAATTTTTTGTAGAGACGAGGTCTTGCTATGTTGCCCAGGCTGGTCTTGAACTCCTGGACTCAAGTGATCCTCCCACCTCAGCCTCCTAAAGTGCTGGGATTACAGGAATTACTGTCTTGCAATCTTCACTCACTTTAGTCATGAGATTATTAGGGGACAGTAGAAAACAGGTAAGTGGAAAGGTCACTGGTCCTATGAACAAGTACTATAGACAGCTCCCACTCTGATGTGATTTGAAGGATGTTACAAAGTTATTCAAAACTATTTTTGTTACAAGCTTGTCAGAGAGCCAGTGAAAAACTTCCCCTCTAGGTTGTTAAGTGAAACAACACCTTGATTATTTAATATATTCGGATGACTTATGTTTATTCTTCCCTTTAGTGCTCATTGTAACTTTGAACAGTTGTTTAAATACTGCTAGTTGATACTGCAATCTGTGTCATTTCAATCCCACACTCACAATTCCCCTACCCGGCCCTAATTGTTATATTTTCCAGAGCAGGAATAACCTTCTAACATGCTGGTTGAGTATATTTCTTTATTATGTCTATAGTCTGCGCCCTACTCCCCATCAACACAGGATAGGGATCTTTATTTTGTTCACTGGTGTATCTAAAGTACCTACAAAAGTGTCTGGTACATAATAGACACTCAATAAGTATTTGTCGAATGACTAGCTCTGCTGAAATGAGGGATTAGTCCTCTTTTTAGGATAACTCATTCTAATTCACAAAATGAAAATTTTACAATATCAACAGAGGCCATTTACTACCTTTCCTGAGGATAAAAATAGTATACTTTTTCTGGCAACCAATTATTACTTTCTTGCCTTTTCTTTTTATTTTTTTTTTGTTTGTTTGTTTGTTTTTGAGACAGAGTCTCGTTCTGTCACCCAGGCTGGAGTGCAATGGCGCGATCTCGGCTCACTGCAACCTCCGCCTCCTGGGTTCAAGCGATCCTCCTGCCTCAGCCTCCTGAGTAGCTGGGACTACAGGTGCCCACCACTACGCCAGACTAATTTTTGTATTTTTAGTAGAGACAGGGTTTCACCATGTTACCCAGGCTAGTCTCGAACTCCTGCCCTCAAGTGATCCGCCCACCTCGGCCTCCCAAAGTGCTGGGATTACACGCATGAGCCACGGCGAGCCAAAGTACTTTTTTCCCTTAAGCCTGTTTGAGTTGGGTCTTCTGTCATCCAAGACTTTTTTTCAATAATACAGTCACCTTCTGTTTCCACACTTGTGGAAACTTAAAAAAAAAAAAAAAAAAACCGCGGCCGAGCGCGGTGGCTCACGCCTGTAATCCAAGCATTTTGGGAGGCCGAGGCGGGCGGATCACCTGAGGTCAGGAGCTGGAGACCAGCCTGGCCAACATGGCGAAACCTCGTCTCTACAAAAAAAATACAAAAATTAGCTGGGCGCAGTGGCGGGCGCCTGTAATCCCAGCCACTCAGGAGGCTGAGGCAGGAGAATCGCTTGAACCCAGGAGGCGGAGGTTGCAGCGAGCCGAGATCGCGCCATTGCACTACAGCTTGGGTGACAGAGTGAGACTCCGTCTCAAAAACAAAAGCAGAAACAAAAACCGCCCCATAGCCCAGCCGCTCGTTCTCATCCTTCTCTCCCATCCTCACCCCAGTGCCTTCACCGCCCCGTCCCCGCTTTCCGGCTGCCTCGGCGCGGGCCTGGTGGGCCAGGAGGGCTCCCACCCGGGGCAAAGCCTCAAGACGCGGGGCCGGCGTTCTCCCTGGAAGGCTCGCTGCGGCCACCCTTCCCCAGGTCCCCGGAGCCCACGTTCTCCCAGCTCGCCCGGCTCCCGTTTCGCTCCCAGCTCCAGTATGAACCCGGAGCACGTGCAGTTCTACCCTGATTGGCTCGTCATCATCGTGTTCCACAGCCTAGTCCCCAGCTCGCTGTCTGTCACCCTGCGTTCCCAGAGCACAGAACCGGGCAAAGAGCCGGGAACCCACGGCACCAGAGCTAATCCCTGATGAGTCACCGCTCCAGGCGCGGACACTCGGGCTTCCTCGCCCCACTCTACGGGCCAAGGAGACGTCAGCAGGATCCCACCTCCCACAGCAGTCGAGCAAGAGAGCACGCGGAACAAAGGAGCTCTGCGTGATTTCACACAAGAGCCACTCGGATTTCCTTCAAATCTGAGGCAAAGCGCATTTCCCTTCGCGGCTCCGGGCAGCCTCCGAGCACCGGGTCTCCGGCACTACCTCCCCTGGGCCGTGGGGTGGCAGCAAACGTCAAGGGGGATGCGCATGCTCTGTGTGGGGCCTCGCCCTTCGCCCCCGCGGCCGCCGAGTGACGGAAGCGCGTGCTTAGGCTCATGGGAAATGTGGTTTCTAAACCGCGGGCGCCCCCTGCCTGGGCCCAGAGCGGGACTTCAGCTCCCGGCCGGCTGGCTGGCGCGTGTGGAAACGCGGGAGGAGAGGGCGGGGCGAGTGGGAGAAAAGGTGGGCGGAGCCGGTGGGAAGGCCAGGCGGAGGGGGCGGGGCTTCGGCCGGCTAAGCCGCGGCCACCCGCGGTCTGAGGGACCGGAGGAGCGGGGCCGGGAGCTGCGAGGAGCCCCCCAGACGTCGCCGAGCGCGAGGGCGGGCGTGCTCGGAGTGGTCGCTCGTCAGCCGCCGCCCCTCAGTCTCCGCACTTGCAGGTCCCCTCCCTCTCCGCCGGGACGCGGGAGAGCCCGGCTCGCGGCGGGGGCGGCCAATGCGAAACTGGCTGGTGCTGCTGTGCCCGTGTGTGCTCGGGGCCGCGCTGCACCTCTGGCTGCGGCTGCGCTCCCCGCCGCCCGCCTGCGCCTCCGGGGCCGGCCCTGCAGGTGAGGTCCTGGGGCCGGGCGGGTTGGCGGCCGCCGGGGGGGTGGGAGGCCCGGCTTGGTGCCGCGGGGCTTCGCCGGGAATTGTTGGAGGCGGGGGAAGGGCCAAACGCGACGGTCCCCAGACGAAACAAACGGCTCTTTTCATCCTTGGAGCGTTAACATCGGGCAAACTTGAGGGAGCTTTTCTCTTTTCGTGTCCCCGCCTCTTCTCACTTCCCCGTTTCCCTTAACGCCCGCAGAGCCGGCGCCCGCAGTTGCAAGTCCTTCGCCTGTCCCCAGGCCTGGTTAGTGATGTCCGACGCCGCCCGTTCGCCCGGGAGCGGAACCTCGTGTGCCCTTCAGCCGCCAGCGCTTTCTGCTTTGGGAGCTCTGGCTCTGAAGTTGTTTTCTTCCCCCCCAAGTTGTTGGTCTTTCTCGGTCAAGACTGGGGTTTTAGTGCCGTGGATAATGTGTGTGCGTGTTTTCAAAGGTGGCTCGGTTTTGCTTTTAAGGAATAACTTTGCTGTAAGAATATACTGTAGTTCGTATTCTTGGATTATGATGTAAGTCGGTTAAACAAATCTAGACATGAAATAGGGCATGGCCGAGAGTTGGAGTTGTTCCTGTGAGTTTGGATCGCATAACCTGCTAATGCAGTTTACATGGAAATATCAAATTCTTTAACGATCGTGTCCATTTGCTCTAAAACTTAATCTCTCGTAGGAATGAAACCTTTGTTCTTGTTTCGCGTCACAGCCTAATAGAATGCTTTACTTACGGTGCCCAGCGGATTGTTTTGTTAGTGGGTTCCACCACCCTGAACACTACTTTAGCTTTCCCTGTATCTCTTGTCTTCTTCTTTAAGGGCTTGCCCTAGAACATGAAAGAAACCTAGAAAGCTCTTTTAAATATTATGTAATACTTAATTTTGTAACTATACTGGGACTTTTTTCCCTTACCATCTCTCCCCAAAACAGCTGTTTTCTAATCCAAAAGTTCTTAAAATTAGAATTGAGTGTTTGCAGTTCAGCACTCTATGCCTTATAAGTAGAAAGTATTCGGCAATCCTCAAAACAGTCTCAGTTATATGAAATTATGTTGAGGTTATTTTGGTAACAATCTCTTTTCCTATTAGATCACTAGCTCTTTGAAAAGGATTTGTGTGACCTGAATAGAATTAAACACTATTTAAGTGATTTAATGAAAGTACAGTGTTGCTATGCACTTAACCAGTTGATGGGGTCAGGGTTTTGCTCAGTGTTTTTTAGGTTTTTGTGAAGTGAACTAAGAAGAGAACGCCATATATAAAAAATGCTTTGTAACAGCTGCTTGTGTGTTACAGGTTTCTCTCTTTTGTTATGAGTGAGCCCTGCTGGAATCTCCTTGTAGAGCGTCATTAAGTCTGTTTATGGCCTTAATGGTTGTTTAGGGTTCAGTAAAACAAACAAAAACTGAAATGTTAGTAGACTTCAAACTGAAATCTTAGTAGACTTGCTAGGCAGTTTTCTAGTTTGAGACAAGTTTTTCCTACTCCCTTACTGCACTTGAAGGATGATGCCTTTATCTGCCATCCAGTAGTTAGACCAGGCTAGATTAAGGAAATGAAGAAGTAGACCATAGAAAGGAACAGGGTAATAACGTAGGTAAGAAGATCAATACTAGTTATGTTAATTAACTTTGGCTTTGAATGAGTACTGTGTATCTGGTCAGATAATAAATGGGATTTTTTTTTAAGTTCCGGGATACGTGTGCAGGACGTGCAAGTTTGTTACATAGGTAAACGTGTGCCATGGTGGTTTGCTGCAGCTGTCAACCATCGATATTTTAATAATCTAAGTTAAACATGACTGGCCCGGCGCGGTGCCTCACGCCTGTAATCCCAACACTTTGGGAGGCCGTGGTGGGTGGATCACCTGAGGTCAGGAGTTCAAGACCAGCCTGGCCAACATGGCGAAACCCCGTCTCTACTAAAAATACAAAAATTAGCCGGGCATAGTGGTGCATGCCTGTAATCCCAGCTACTAAGGAGGCTGAGGCAGGAGAATCACTTGAACCTCGGAGGCGGAGGTTGCAGTGAGACGAGATTGCGCCACTGCACTCCAGCCTGGGTGACAAGAGCGAAAGTCCATCTCAAAATAATTAATTAATTAATTAAACAAGACTGACTCCTACCTTTCCTTTTTTCCTTTTGGTACTTTCAAAGCTAAAAGCAGTGGAAGCATCTTAAATGCTAAAATTTCCCATAATTCCTTTACCATTGTGCTGTCACCATGTTGAAACTAAAATAGTTGGGTGTTTTTACATTTTAACCCTTGTACTTTAAGCCTAACAGGAGAAAAAAAAACCCAAGATTTTGCTAAGTATTCTTTTCTTGAATTAACATTTTTAAATGTATTTTTTTTTCTCTTCTGCTGCTTTGTCTGTCTTCAGTCTCATTAAGTAATGGCAGTTTCTTTGTTTTTTTTGAAAGAGCGATTTACCTTCCCTGAATATTAAAAAAGGTTCTTTGGCTCGCAGTTGATTCAGCAAATATTTGAGAGCCTACTCTGTGCCAGCTCCTATCGTAGGTGTGGAATTACAGCAGTAATCAAGCTAAACTTCCTGCCCTCATGTAGTTTACAATTTAGAAGGGAAGACAGAGCATCAGGAAATAATTATAAATATCACAGCGGTAGTGATAAGTATAGGGAAAAAAGATAAAGCAGTGTTAAGAGATTAAAGAGATGGTTTTAAATAGGTCAGGGAAGTCCATTCCATTCTGAAGAGGTAACAGTTGAGCAGGGACCAGAATGAAGTAAGTGAGTCACCTTAGTACCAGAGTCAGCAACTTTTTTAATGTGATAGGTTCCCTTAAACCAGTCAGGGAAAGCAACTGGTAAAGAGGAAGTGAAATCCAGTACACCTGAGGGTGACAGAGGAAAATGCAGGTGGAGATAACCATCGGACTAAGGAATCTAAACATAGGATATCTTGATTACAAAATGCTCGTTTTGGGTAATGCCTTAAGTAGGAATTATTTAACGGTTAATTTAGAAAAATGATGTGACAAAAGAAGGCTTCGCTTTCTAGGGTATCTGGAAAGAAAGAAACCAAAACAAAGGAGCATATTCACTCAACAAGTACTTGAGTGTTAGATTCTGTGCTGGATGCCTAGTCCCTTCTCCCAAGGTGCTCACAGTATCTAATGGAAACAGATGTAGAGCAAGTAGAAGGTCAGAAAACAAATTGAGCTTGCTTTGTAATTTTGCCTGGGGTGAGTTCTTCCAAAATTATCCCTATATGCTAATTGTGTCTCTGTGCTTCAGTTTCCTTATTTATAAGATGATGATCTCATAGACTTATTGTGAAGATTCAATTAATGAAACACCCGCAACAGTGCCTGTTTCATAGTAAACACTCCATGAGTTTGAGAGAGGAGTGGTAGTCTGGTGGCCGCTGATGCCTGTGCTAGTGTGGTGTTTTGGGAGGTGTCTTTGGTAGTGTGTATGATGATTGTCTTTATCATTAGATCTGTGACAGGCTCACATGTTTTCTTCATTTTCAAGATTTGTATCTATTTGTGACTCTTCCAAGAGCATGCATATCAGAGTGGAATTTTGGTGTGATTTTTAAGACTCTTGGGCTTATTTTGAGCAATCAATTTTGATGTCAACCTTCTTTAGACTTTTTTGATTATTATTTTGAGGCACAGTTTCACTCTGTCGCCCAGGCTGGAGTGCAGTGGCACCATCTTGACTAACTGCAACCTCTGCCTCCGGGTTGAAGCCATTCTCCTGCCTCAGCCTCTGTTACATGTGTGTGCCACCACACCCAGCTAATTTTTGTATTATTAGTAGAGACTGCGTTTTGCCATGTTGGCCAGGCTGGTCTCGAACTCCTGACCTCAAGCGATTCATTCACCTCGGCCTCCCAAAGTGCTAGGATTACAGGCATGAGCCACTGCGCCAGGCCCTCCCTTAGACTTTAATATACCTTTGGATGTCCACTCACAGTGCAGGGTTGAGCAGGTTGCCAGACTCTCAGGATATATTACATATTAAGAAAAGAAATAGTTCTTACTGTAGGGTCTCAGAAGAAAACAATACCCCAAAATAAGGCCTCAGAAGCAGCTGTCTCTGACCTGCTGCTGCTGTCCTCTCTCTGGCCTTGCATTCTCACCTGAGGCTAGCTGTAGAAACTAAAATCCCTCTTCCCCAAAGCCAGCCATAAAACCTAAACATATTACTCTAACTAGCCCCCACCACCTCCTTTCTATATAAAAATTACCTAACTTACCTTCTTTTATTAAAGGTCATAAGAACCTCATACCAGAGAGGGTCCTATCCCATACCCAGTAGGAAAGAATGTATACTCAGAGAGGACAAGAAGAATCTAGACAGGCCTTGCTGGGTTTTCCAACTCCATCTGTTAACATTAGATCCTACCCTTTCTGTCCAATCTTAATTCCACATAGCTATCTATACTTTGTTAAACCTAAGCACAGAAATGGGCACTTTCTCCTGTATCTTTACTGATCAAATAAATTTATATGCCTTTTCTCCTGTCCATCTCTTGTCAGTGATTTTCACCGAACCTTCAGAGGGAAAACTTTCCCTTGGCCCTTACGTTGCCCTCAGGGAGCTTGCTTGGGATTGTGATTTAGTCCTGACATTATGAAGATTTTGTTTACTGCTGTATCTGTGCCATCTAGAACAATGAGCATAGGAGATGCTCTGTCATTTGAGTGAATAAATCAAGAGAATAAAACTGGCGCAGTTTGATGTATTTTCACAAATTGAACACACCCAACTAATCACCACCCAGATTTAAAAAAAGAAAACTATCAGTGCTTCAGAAGTTCCCTTCATGCTCTGTTTTGTCACTACCAGGGATAGTAACCAGTGGCAGAAATTTGGCTACTTTTGTACTTTATATAAACAGAACCGTCTAGTATCTACATAGTTCCTATCGCCTGTTTATCTTAATATGATGTATTAATAGAATAATGTTTAATGATATGATTAACATGTAATTTTAATGGCTGCATAGTATTCTGTCATATAGCTACACCATAATTTATTTAATGAGTCCTTTATGTGTTTATGTAGCTTGCAGTTTTTCGCTATTAATAGGTGACACTATGATTAATAAAGATCTTCTGAGTGTATCACTGATTATTTCTTTAGAATGAGTTCTTAGAATTGCTGGACAAAGTTACACCATTCTAAATTATTTGACACATTGCCAAATTGCCCTGCAGAAGACTGTACCAAATTACATTCCTTCCCGCAATGAAAAAGAGTAGCCTTTTTTTTTTTTTTTTTTTTTTTTTTTTTTTTGAGAAGGAGTCTAGCTCTGTCACCCAGACTGGAGAGCAGTGGCGGGATCTTGGCTGACTGCAACCTCTGCCTCCCAGGTTCAAGCAAGTCTCCTGACTCAGCCTCCCGAGTAGCTGGGATTACAGGCATGCACCACCACACCTAGCTAATTTTTGTTGTATTTTTAATAGAGATGAGGTTTCACCATATTGGCCAGGCTGGTCTCGAACTTCTGACCTTGTGATCTGCCCTCCTCGGCCTCCCAAAATTGAAGCTGGGATTATAGGCATGAGCCACCGTGCCCGGCGGAGAGTAGCCACTTTGTTGAAATCACTAACAACATTTCCTTGAAGTACCATCATTTAGTTACAATCATTTAAGAAGACATTTGTCAGTTTGAATGTAGGAGAAAACTGGTGTCTCATTGCTCTAATTCAAACTTGATTCTTATTGAAGTTGAACATGTTTTCATAGGCTTGCTATTTGCCTTTTTTCTTTTCTGAATTATCTTTATGTCCTTCTGTATCATGTTTACTTCTTACCACTTTCTTTTTTTCCCTCTGTTTCTAGACACTGGAGTCAACTAGGTACCCTGTTCTTGTAACATAAAAGGTGATAAGAGTTTAGAGCCAGATTGGTAAAGGGAGCTAGAAATTTGAGCAACATTCTTACATAGGTATTTTATTATGCATCTGCTTTGGGTTTTGTACTGTGTAACACAGTACTCAGGAGTCTATTGGACTAATTTACATTAATGGTATGTGGTTAAAAAACCTATTTTTCTGACATTTGACTTCAATATATCTTGAAGTAGTTCTCTAAAAGACCACGATATGCCGTGTTACTTTCCCTCTGCAAGAAAAAGAGAAATGCATGTAAAGTAAAGCAGTTGAACAGAAGCAGCTTAGACATGGATTAGAAGCAGGGGGGATTGAGAGTGGCAGAGAGGTGGAATAAGATCAAAAAGAGGTTTCCATCCATAATCCATGGGATTTTCACATGTCACATGGTTATCTTTGTATTTCTTTATTATTTTTAGAAAAATCTTGTTTGACAATTATATGGAGAAGTCAGGTAAAAACCAGTTAGGATGCCCTCGTACTGGTCCAGGTGAAAAAACAGACCGAACTGAGCAGCAGCTAGAATTAATGACAAGAAAGGGATAGATTTGAGAAATTTTCATGAAGATTTTGAGACATCAAGAAAAGATTAAATTATGTTCTATGTAATCTATTTCTAAAAGATTTGCTTTGATTAGCCATCAAAAATAAGGTAGTAAATTATTGGAATTAAAAGTGATGTTTCAAATATTTTGAAAGTTTGCTTTTGTGCAGCATCCTTATTTTCTGATGATGTCAGATAAATGAGGCATTTAGATTAAATGTGATTTTTGCCCTACAGCTTTTAATCTTTTGAGATGAGACTTTGAAACAAATGAAATAGAATATCCAAAATTTTTTTTGTATCAGTTTTCTCTAATTAAGAAGTTGAAGCACAGGGATTTAAATAATTTCTTACTAACGTAATGCAAAATCTTGGCTGTGGAATCAATGTCAGAACTGGCTGGTCACTACCTTTGTTTTGCCTCCTTCCTGACACTAGAATGTACATATTTCTCTGTGAAAAAGGTGGGGAGGCATATTGTCAGTTTTACATAGTCATTTAAATTAGTCTCTGAATTCAGACACTCATTTAGAGTGAGTTCCAGCACTAGGTACAACTTCCATCATATAGTTATGTATCTGAGAAAAAATGTTCTGAGCTATGAGTTAAAAAAAATTGATGTGTTACCCAGCGTATTCAATGATCCGCTTATTGCTAATTCAGTTGAACTGGTATTGTGGATTAAAAGATCAGAATTTAGACTCAGATAAGCTATATTAAGCTGTATAGCTTTAGAATAGAACAGTGATAAAGAATGGTGTTAGATTGCCTGGGATTAAATCTTAGCCCAGCCATTTCCAAGCTGTTTGACTTAAGTTACTGAATTCTTTGGGTGTTTCATTTGTTCAACAAGTACTGGGCCAGGCACGGTGGATCACGCCTGTAATCCCAGCACTTTGGGAGGCCGAGGCGGTGGATCACAAGGTCAAGAGTTCAACACCAGCCTGGCCAAGATGGTGAAACTCCATCTCTACTAAAACTACAAAAATTAGCCAGGCACAGTGACAGGCGCCTATAATCCCAGCTACTCAGGAGGCTGAGGCAGGAGAATCACTTGAACCCGGGCGGCAGAGGTTGCAGTGAGCCGAGATCGCCGCCACTGCACTCCAGACTGGGCCACAGAGTGGGACTCCGTCAAAAAAAAAAAAAAAAAGAAACAAGTACCTACCTCATAGGGTTGTGAACATTAAATGATACTCTATATGTAGTGCTTTTCACAGATTAACTGTTCAATAAATATGGCCTATTAATAAGCTTAATCCATGAAAATTTGAATTTATTTAAAAATAAATTGTCTTTATAAAAGAATTCGTTTTAGTACATGACTCATTGTAGAGTGAAATAATAAATACCTCTATTCCATTTGGAATGGAACTTTTTTTTTTTTTTCAGGTGGAGTCTCACTCTTGTTGCCCAGGCTGGAGTGCAATGGCGCGGTCTCGGCTCACCCCAACCTCCACCTCCCGGGTTCAAGAGATTCTCCTGCCTCAGCCTCCCAAGTAGCTGGGATAACAGGCAAGCACCACCACACCCGGCTAATTTTGTATTTTTAGTAGAGACAGGGTTTCTCCATGTTGGTCAGGCTGGTCTTGAACTCCCGACCTCAGGTGATCCGCCCACCTCGGCCTTCCAAAGTGCTGGGATTACAGGCATGAGCCACCGTGCCTGGCCCAGAATGAAACATTTTAAGAAATATATCTATTGTGGAAAATAAGGTATCTACACAAAAATTTCTGTATTATATCCTTAAAACTATCCTAGTAGAAAGATCTGTTTTTATTATTTTAATTGGGCCTTTGAAGAAAATATCAACCTGGTTTTGTTGTCTTTTAGACTGAATACCTAGATCCCATGGTATATAAAAACATTGCATTTAATATAGTAAAGAGTCTGGGCTTCAATAATTTATTTTTGGAAACGTTTTGGATCAGTTCCCACCACTGGAGAAAGAGATGAAATGGATACCTCATCAGAGCTATATATAAGCTTGTAGCTCTCAAGCCTTAAAACTGGTGATGAAAAACAAGGACAAAGTATATCTTTCTCTTCTGTCTTCTAAGGACAAGTTTTACATGGAAATGTAACCCTGCCCATTAGACCTTCTGACAGTAAAAAATGAGCCGTTCAGAATGACTTACTTTATTATTATTTTTTTTTTTTTTTACTAAAAGTGTTGCTTTCCCGTCATTCTTCAGAATATTTTGTAGGTAGTGAAAGGTTTACTGGCTATAGAATTCATTGATATAAATAAGGGTTGCATTACTTTCCGGTATGGAAGTCCTTCAGCGTCATCCGCCAAACTTAATAACTAACATTAATGTAGGACCTCACTTTTCAAAGCACATTTTTTTTAGTTGCCATTGAATGCCTCATATATGCCTAATACCAAACCAAGAGCTTTATACATGTTATCTCATTTAATTTTTACAACAGCTTTATGAGAAGTATTATTATACCCATTTTGTAGTTGAGGAAACTGAGGCTCAAGAAGCTAAATAACTTATAGTTAATATATGATAGAGCCTGGATTCTAACTGTGGCCTAATTGACTCTTAATGCCTACTATTTTTTTATGCTACGTTGCCTTTTGAAACAGATTCTTACCACATCTTGTTTGTTTTGAAGAATTAGTATACTTACGTGAGCATGAATACATACATATATACGTGAAAGACAAAAATACTCTAAACCAAAATGTTATTAGTGGTTGTCTCTGGATAGTGGGTTCATATGTGATTTAAAAATTCTTTTCTTTGTGTTTATCTGAATTTCCTACAAACATAAGCTTATTTTGTAATAAACTTATGATACATATTGAACTTCATAGTAATTGATACATGACTTATTTCTCATGTATTGTTCTTATTTCTAGATCAGTTGGCCTTATTTCCTCAGTGGAAATCTACTCACTATGATGTGGTAGTTGGCGTGTTGTCAGCTCGCAATAACCATGAACTTCGAAACGTGATAAGAAGCACCTGGATGAGACATTTGCTACAGCATCCCACATTAAGTCAACGGTAGGTTTTCTGAGTTGTTGCCTTGCCTGGTTTATTGAAATAAGAGTTCTGAAAAACCTAGCCAGGCGTGGTGGTGTGTGCCCGTCGTCCCAGCTACCGGGGAGGCTGAGGTGGAAGGATTGCTTGAGCTTGGAAAATTGAGGCTGCAGTGAGCCATGATTGCACCACTGCATTCTAGCCTGCATGATGGGAATGAGTCCCTGCCTAATTTAAAAAAAAAAAAAGTTCTGAAAAACCTTACTTTGAATAGAAATGTTCATTCAGATATGTGGGCTCTTCCTGGGAGAAATGGCTGTTTCATTTGCTTTTCTTCCATATAGTTTGGGCCAAAAAGTAAATTTAACCAACATTTTAAGCCAAATGATAATTGGAAGAGAGTATATTCACTGGTTAACGTGTAGTATTTAGATACCCAGTGTGGTTTGTTTGTTTTTTGCTTTGATTTAGAATAGCAATTCTTAAAAGGTTCTGTTCTAGAGCAGTTCTCTCCTTAGACACATGTGCATGTCTAAATATACTTTTCACTAACTTCACAGAGATAAATTTAATTTTTTTCAGTTTTGTAGTATTTTTTAGTTGTGTAATCTGCAGTATGTGTAATATGCCATGCTCTTTTTCCTGACTACCCTTCTGGAACTGAGCTTTGGTAATCCATTTCATGCTGACATTAGATAGCTCTCAGTTATTAGTTAGGGGCCCAAAGCCTTAGTCTGTTCTCAATGAGATCAACCTCTGAAGATTGTGTAGTGAGGGACTAGGGGAAGAAACGCATAGAAGTTGACTTCTATGTATGTGAAGACTCAGGTGATAAGCAGAGAAGGCCCTTTCAGGATTGAATTGCACTGGCACATTTGTGACTGAGTAGCTATACAAGCAAATTGCAGTTGTGAATTTTTTTTTTTTTTGAGATGGAGTTTTGCTGTCGCTCAAGCTAAAGTGCAGTGGCACGATCTTGGCTCACTGCAACCTCCAATTCCTGGGTTCAAGCGATTCTCCTGCCTCAGCCTCCCAAGTAGCTGGGATTACAGGCACTTGCCACCATGCCCGGCTAATTTTTGTATTTTTAGTAAGGACAGGGTTTCACCATGTTGGCCAGGCTGGTCTCGAACTCCTGACCTCAGGTGATCTGCTTGCCTCGGCCTCCCAAAGTGCTGGGATTACAAGCGTGAGCCACCAAGCCCGGCCTAGTTGTGAATTTTCTTGTCACTAGTAGTGCTTACTCATAGTAGCTTTCATTCCTTTTCAAGACAGGTTTCTTTAGTTCATGGTTGCAATGATAATAGAGCCTATTACACAGCAAATGAAAGACCTCAGAATCATCACTACTATCAGAACCACCTCCAAAAGCTGTACTTCCTGTAGTATTTCCCTGTTAGAAAATAATGACTCCTCCACCAGTTGCTCAGACCAAAACCCTTGGTGTTACCCTGATTTTTCCTTTCACCTGCCACATCCAATCCATCAGCATACCTTCCAGATGCTGCTTAGACCATACCCAGAATCTGACTTCTCACCACCTTTACCACTGCCATCTGATCTAGGCTGCCATTATGTCTCACCTGGATTATTGCAGAAGTCCCCTTCTCTGAACTTACTGCTTCTACCTTTGACCCCCTACATTTTATTTTCCATACAGCAGCCAGAGTGATCCTTTTAAAATTAGTCAAATTATGTCAATTCTCTATTCATACCCCTCCATTGACCTCCTTTCTTGCTCAGAGTGAAACTCCAAGTCTTTGTTGTGGTATTTGACCTTATCTACATCTACTTCCCCTACACTGGCTGCCTTACTGTACTTTCATACACTAAAAGTGCCCCTACCTCAGGGCCTTTGCATTTCCTACGTCCTCTCTCACTAATGTCCTCAGGACTCACTTCCTTCAGGTCTCTGATTAGATGTCACTCTAGCAGACAGCCCCATAGTAAATAGCAGCCCACCCCTATCTTGTTTGTGTCTTCCCTTAGTTGGCTTTAATTTTTTTTTGGTAACACTTATCACCAGCTGGCATCTGTATTGTATTTAGTTGTAAAATTGTTTGTCTTTCTCCACTTGAATGTAGGTTTCATGAGCATTGGGGCTTCAGGTTTTTTCACTGGTGTATTCCCAATACCTAAAACCTAGCTTGGTGCAGACTAAGGCACTCAACAACTATTGAATGAATGACTCAGAACCAAATGTAATGAATATAGTTTATATTCAGACATTTCACCACTAATTTATTTGCCATCATAACAGTCTTGCTTTAAATTTAGCGTGCTTGATTTGTGTTATGAGAATGATCAGCTATCTGTATAAAAATAGATATTAGGCAGAAACACCTTCCTGGGACACAGTAATTTTGTGGATCTAGTAAGAGTACCTAGTAAGATGGCTAAAAAACCAAATTTGGTACATACTTGCAATAATTTAGTTAGCACATTTATTCATTTCTGTTTATACTTTTATTCCAAATGCTAGTTATCTATGAAAGGTATTCTGCCTTAATTGGTAATTAGTAACAGAAACTGCATTTCTGTGGTTATGGCATATTTTCCATTCTTGCATTTCACCAAAGGACCCAAACTCAACACTAAGTACTTCTGTAAGCAAATAATGTAGTATGTGTGGTAGAATACAGAGATAAATAGAGTGTTAGGAGGGGCTTGACATTTAGTAGAAGGAAATAGGTGTAATCGTATAATAAAATGTTGTATGTGCTGTGATATAAATAGATATAAAATAGCCCGGGGTGTTTGAGAAACTCCTAACACTTCTATATAACTTGAGCACAGGGCTTGTGGTGGTGGGGGAAGGGTTGTGGCACAGTGTGAGAGAAACAGCCAGGAGAGGTAGGAGAGTAGAGAGGTGTATATAAAGAAAAGAGGGGGGAAGCATATGACTGTGAGAGGCAGACAGTGAGCAGATCACATGTAACAGGCATGTGGAGGGTTGAGTGGAAGGACGAGACCTGTTGTGGCAAGGACTGCTGAGGGGCTGATCTACAGAGATCAGAGGGGTGACCTTGTGAGAGAATAAGGTCATTGAATGTAGAAAATGGAGGAGGAGGCTAGGAAGATTGCTAGTGTTCTGACTTGGAGAATAGTGGAATCATCAATCAAAACAAAAATACTAAAAGAGAAGAGCAGGTTTCATGGGAAAGAAGCTCAGTTGTGTATATGTTGACCTTGAGGTTCCTACAGGCAGTAGTGTACTGATAAAGGTTTACTAACTGGCTCTCTGGGAAAAATGATGCTTATATGTACATACATGTTTATTATAAATTTTATTGACATAAAGTATATACAGCCTGTAATTGACAGATAATAACCTATACAATACTGTTTATCGTAAATTCCATGAAACCAGTTGATTCTCATAGAACGCTTTTGTTGTTTGTCAGACTCTCCTATCTATGACCAACTTATGGTTGCAGTTAACAAAAGAGTGTAGTTGTGACAAAAGTCTTTCTTTTAAGTTAAACAGTGAGGTGAGGACTAAAGTGACAACTAAGATATGTCAGCTTTACACTTAATAAAGTCAGTGACTTCTATGCTGTATCAGGTAATAGTTTTGGAACACTGGAATCGTATCTTCCTTGACTTTTTTTTTTTTTTTTAACTATTCACTCTGTAGTGGCTATAGATAGACACATCACATTAAGCTTAATTTGCATTATCAACATTTTCTCTATACTTTCTTAAGTCTAGACAGTCAACAAAACAATAAACCAAACCCTTATTTGTATTATTTGCCAGTTTCTAGGGTGTGAATATTTCCACTATGGCCAATTCAAGTGACTAATGTGACATCACTGAACACAGAGTGGGGGAAAGATAAGCAGTAGCATGCCATATATACTATTTCCACCATGTAGATGTAATAAATATAAATGATCTCAAGAACATAATAGTAAAATGTAGTAAAACATTAAGTGATTAATTTGAGTATTTCCTTTGATTTTAATATATATTATAAGATTATATAATTTAATTTTAAATAAAGGCTATGTTTAATAACCGTCTCACAAAATTTCTGAAAAGTTGACAGTTGGCTCCCAGAAGCCAGTAGTAGCAGGCTTTAGCACACAGCTGTCTGTGGGTTATCTGGGTGAAGATGTCCAGTGAATTTACAGGTCCTTTACATGGGTCTAAACTAGAGTTACTAATTCAGGTCCGGACACAGTGGCTCACACCTGTAATCCCAGCACTTTGGGAGGCCAAGGCAGGCAGATCACTTGACGCCAAGAGTTCGAGACCAGCCTGGCCAACATGGTGAAATCCCGTCTCTACTAAAAATACAAAAATTAGCCAGGCGTGGTGGCACACGCCTGTAATCCCAGCCACTTAGGAGGCTGAGGCAGGAGAATCACTTGAACCTGAAAGGTGGAGACTGCAAAGAGCCAAGATTACACTGTTGTATTCCAGCCTGGGTGACAGAGCGAGACTCTGTCTCAAAAAAAAAGAAAACAACTAGAGTTACTAATTCAGGAATCATTCCCATGCTATTTGAAGCCATGAGAATAAATAATATTGTTTAGGGAGAGGAAGTAAAAAAAATGAGTAGATTGAGAAAAGACCCAAAGGCAGAGCCCTAGACTAATACCACTCTCAGTGGACAAGCTGGGGAACAAGAGGCAGTGAAGATGACTGAGCAGGCCACAGAAGGAAGGGAAGAGAGCATTTTAGGGAGCTGGGCAGTATTAAGCCGTAGAGAAACCAGGAAGGTAAGAGTTCAAGAGTGTCTATTGATTTAGCAGCAGCTCATTGGTTACATTAGTGGAATCTCAGTGGAGGTGGTGATATTAAAGCTAAAACTCTTGTTTTATAAAATGAGTGGGAAGTAAGAAACAGGCTGCAGTTTTAATTTCTTTGTAGGACCTCAGTGTAAAGTGTGGTGGCAAGGAAGGATGGAAGGTGAAGAGAATAATTAGAGTCAGGACTTTATCATGTTTGTAATGTGGAGGGAAGGAGTCACTAGTTACAGGGGTAACCAGTGAAGCAAGGTCTAGGAGAGAAGGGGATTTCCTCTTGGATGGAAAGACCTAATCTTGAGCAAAAGGAACACTTTCTGAAATAGAAGAAGGCAGCAAAGGAAAATTTTAGATATAGATATGTTTTTAGGTATGGGCATGAGAACTGACTTTACTATAGTTTGCTTTTAAATGATATGAACATTTGCTTGTAGCGAGGCCAGACATATTCATACTTGCTTTAATATAGCATTGCAATAAGGACTCATGCATAAGTAACTTGGTAGTTAGCAACTTTCAGTTTACTTGTTCCCCCATTTTGTCTGACTAGAAGAATAAAGGTAGAGAATTAATCCTCATAAACACTTGTGTCTCAAAGTAAAAGCTCTGAAATGGGCATGAGGAAACGTGCATGTGCGAGGTGAAGATCAGTAACTGATGTTAATGCCAACACATCTCTCAGTGTGCTTGTGAAGTTCATAATAGGTGCTCATGGCTGTGAAGTGCCTGTGGAAGACAGGGAGGATCCTTATTCCTGTAAACTACTCAACATCACAAATCCAGGTAAGTCATCTTTTCCCTTGACTGCCATACACAAGCTTGATGTTGAGTAAAAGTTGCTAAGCTTAATAGTATGGAGTCTGTTTTTATTTTTTATTATTTTATTTTATTATGTGTTTTAGAGACAGGGTCTTGCTCTGTCGCCTAGGCTGGCGTGCAGTGGCATAGTCATGGCTCACTATAACCTCAAACTCCGGGGCTCAAGCGATCCTCCTACCTCACCACCCTGCTAGGACTACAGGCACATGCCACGAAAACTGGCTAATTTTTTAAATTTTTTGTAGAGTTGAGGTCTCGCTGTCTTGTCTGGGCTGATCTTGAATTCTTACCCTCAAGGGATCCACCAGCCTCAGCATCCCAAAGCACTGGGATTGCAGGCATGAGCCACCATGCCCTGGAGTCTGTTTTTAATAGACTAAAATGTCTTTCATCCAAATTTATGTCTCATCTTTTTTTTTTTTTTTTTTTTTTTTTTTTTGGAGATGGAGTCTTGCTCTGTTGTCCAGGCTGGAGTGCAGTGGTGCTATCTCAGCTCACTGGCTCACTGCAACCTCCGCCTCCTAGGTTCAAGAAATTCTCCTGCCTCAGCCTCTCTTAAGTAGATGGGATTACAGGCTACCACCACTGCGCCTGGCTAATTTGTGTATTTTTAGTAGAGATGGGGTTTCACTGTGTTGGTCAGGCTGGCCTCGAACTCCTGACCTTGTGATCCACCTGCCTCAGCCTCCCAAAGTGCTGAGATTACAGGCATGAGCCACCATACCCAGCCTATTTCATCATTTTTGACAGATTGCCTTGGGGTACCTGTAGAGATTCTTTACAGAATTGGAACTTTAGGATCCAGGAGACTTTATTTTTCAGTGTGATTCATACGCGTTTGGAAGTTCCTTATGCTTAGATAAATCCTGAATTACCAAATTTTGAACTTTTGGAAAACTGCTGATTTTACCAGTTAATTTATAATAATCTTGAAGAAACAAATATTATGAATCAACTTTCTCTTAGAATTATTGTCTAATTTATTTCTGTAAAAGAAAAAATAGTAAAAAATGTAAGACACAAGTAACATTATTTATGCCTTAAAATTAAAAGTTTGTAAAAATTCTGGTGAGGATAAAGAAAGCTGCTCCAGCACTTTGGGACACCACGGTGGGAGGAGGAGCACAAAACCAGCCTGGGCAACATAGTGAGCTCCCATGTCTGAAAAAAAAAACATTAGCCAAGTATTGTGGCTCATGCCTGTAGTTCCAGCTGCTTGGGAGGCTGAGGTAGGAGGACTGCTTGGGTCCAGCAGTTCGAGGCTGCAGTAAGCTATGATCTGCTTCCGCTACTGCACTCCAGCCTGGGTGACAGAGCGAGACCCTGTCTCAAAAACAAAGACAACGAAAGAAAGCTGATCCTAACTAGGTTCTCTGTGTCACCAGGGAACCAATTTTAGGAAGTTGATAAGTTTTTAACTGTCTGTGTTTATTAGCAATTCCCATTATGTTCAGCTGTGTTTCTAAGGGAGGTTATACTTCCAAGTCTTAAATATGCTGATTAGGACTTCTGGTATTTTAAGGTTTGTTAAAACTGTATAATTAAGTAACACCTCACTTTTATAAGCAGTCTCCATGGCTCTCAATCCAAGCTTTGCCATTTTCTAGCTGTGTGACCTCCTCTGCCTCAGTTTTATCATCTGTAAACTTGGGATAAAAGAATCTCCCTCATGGGGATTGACATAAGGATGAAATAAGTTGATACATATGATGTATTTAGAATAATAGTTCCTAGAAGGTGGAAGGTACTGAACATTATTTTAAAGAGCCTGCTATTTTATAAAGCTGGGTTTCAAACAGCTTTTTAAATAAATTGGACAATATATTCAGGTCTGTATTACAAAATAGAGGTTTCTTACTTAGGATGTCTGTGAATTCAGTTAACATTGTAAGCAAATTTTATGTATGAATTGTGTGCTGGGGAGAAAGTCCTTTGGCTTTCACTGGAGTCTTGTCTTTTTTTTTTTTTTGGAGACAGAGTTTCGCTCTTGTCACCCAGACTGGAGTGCAATGGCGCGATCTCGGCTCACTGCAACCTCCACCTCCCAGGTTCAAGCGATTCTCCTGCCTTAGTCTCCCGAGTAGCTAGAATTACAGGTGCCCGCCACCACGCCTGACTTATTTTTAGTAGAGATGGGGTTTCACCACATTGGCCAGGCTAGTCTCAAACTCCTGACCTCACGTGATCCACCCCCCTCAGCCTCCCAAAGTGCTGGGATTATAGGCGTGAGCCACCACGCCTGGCCTCACTGGAGTCTTAAAGGGATCATAAACCCCATAGAATGTTATGTCACTGATGTGGTATCCACTGATGTATCCTCCAACAAATTACAATTGAAAACCAAACCAAAACAAAAAGAAGCCCTTCACTTTTAAATTAACCATATTTTTATTATCTTAAGTGCTGTTATTTATTAAAAGTAAAGAAGTAGAACTTTATGTTAAAAGAACATTTTCATATATGTAATACCTAGGTTATGAATTTTTAAATGCGTATATAACTAAGTTAATATTGAACCTAATCTTATCTTTTCGATGATCCAAAGGCAGTTATGGTTATTTCAGTACCTGAAGGTCATGGTAAGCATTAATCATCGTGATACTGTGGCTGTGGTAGAAGGTTTAATAGCACTGTAATGCAACGGGATTTCCTGTGTCCACGTAACTTGAAGCTCAAGGCACAATTCTTTTAGATAAGAAAATATCTAAAAATGCTATATTATAATTGACTTATTGCTTTTAATAAAGAGGTTTCTACTATGGATATCTGTTATTTACTGAATATCTTAAAGAGAAAAAATTGTATTGTTGTCCATTATGTTGTAGTCTAGACTCTCCAGTTAGTGCTTGCCCAGCCCATGACAAAAAACTGTATTCTCCCTTTTTTCCCTCCTGTTCATGTCTATAATTAGGTAGGAGTCATCACTTCCCTTTAATCCCATTTTACTGAATATCTACTGAGTGTAAAGAGCTTCTAGGAAGTCTGACGTGGGCAACCAAATGACCTAGAGTATAGGAAGAAAATGTAATTTCTTTTTTTTTGAGACAGGGTCTTGCTCTGTTGCCCAGGCTGCACTGCAGTGGCACAATCTCAGGTCACTGCAGCCTCTTCCTCCCAGGCTCAAGCAATTCTCGTGCCTCAGCCTCCCAAGTAGGTGGGATTACAGGTGTGTGCCACCACGCCCAGCTAATTTTTGTATCGTAGAGACAGAGTTTCACCATGTTGCCCAGGCTTAGAATTTCTATTTATCTGAAAATAAGAAAATACAATCTTTATTAATACTGAATATATAGACTCACCACAATATATGCATATATTTTGTAAGTAAATAGGTGTGTGTACAAATATTTTTAACTGATGGTGTTGTGTAGTCAGCAAAATTTGAAAACCACAGCTCTAAAAGATACAAAGAACTTTGATATAATCTTTTAAAATAGGGTTTTATATTATTAAAGTAGCACTGATATTCCCTGCCTATGAACTGCTTTATTTAATGTATTCTGATTCATTTATGGTAATTAGAAAATTTATTTGAAGGCTGGGCACAGTGGCTCATGCCTGTAATCCCAGCACTTTGGGAGGCTGAGGCGGGAGGATTGCAGTTCAAGACCAGCCTGGGTAACATGATGAGACCCCCATCTCTACAAAAAATTAGCAAGGCCTGGTGGTGTGTGCCTGCGGTCCCAGCTACTCAGGAGGCTGAGGCAGGAGGATCCCTTGAGCAAAGGAGGTTGAGACTGCAATAAGCCATGTTCATGCCACTGCACTGCAGCCTGGGTGACTGGGTGACTGTCTCAAAAAAAGAAATAAAAGAAAAATTATTTGAACTGTTTTGGCACTGATTAGACAGCTGTGAGGGAGTGGAAAGGGGACTGACTTTGGAATCACTAAATGGGACTTGATTCCTGGATCTGCCACTTTCTATGACCTTAGGTGAATTGCTTAATTTTGGGCCTCAGTTTCTTAATATGTAAACTGGAGATAATGCCACAACCACAAGGGTAGTAGTGAAGATATAAATGTGATGGGAAATGGTACATAGAAGATGGTTCAAAACTGTGTTTGATATGCTTATCTTTTATCAGTGCTGTACAGCAAGAGTTTTTCAGTGTTATTTGAAGTGACTTCAGTTGCTTATTTATACCGTAATAATTGCCTGATGTATCACAAGTATTTTAAATTGCCTAACAAGAAGTAGGATTTTTGGAATTTGCACAGTAAGACCAAATTTACTGATTATTTATGACTACAGTCAGTACTGTTTTTCTTATTTCTATTTATCCAACCCTTCCAAATAGATGCCTTCCAGTTGACTTAAATTTAATATCTCCTGTGGCGTTTATACATATATATGCACACATTTATGCAAAAAGCTATTAAAGCAGTTCTGATAATTAACTTACTTAGATGTGGCTGAAAACTTTATTCTTAAATTTCAAAAATGTTTATATAGAAGCAGCCATTTTTCTCAAGCATTTTTTAAAAATTCCTGCCATTTGTGAATTATATAGCAAATGATTACCTAGGTTTTGGCATTAAGCCCACTTCACTACTTCTTACTAGTAAAACAAAGGATTACATTTGTTCAGTTATATAAACCTGTTCTCATTACTTAGTTTTGAATCAGGAAATTGAAGCGTTCAGTCTGTCCGAAGACACTTCATCGGGGCTGCCTGAGGATCGAGTTGTCAGCGTGAGTTTCCGAGTTCTCTACCCCATCGTTATTACCAGTCTTGGAGTGTTCTACGATGCCAATGATGTGGGTTTCCAGAGGAACATCACTGTCAAACTTTATCAGGCAGAACAAGAGGTATGCACTGCTCTGTACAGGTTTTTTCTCTTTTTTCTTTTTCAAAAACATCAACTTTTCCTTGTGACATACAGTAAGTAGATTGGAAGACTATATAATTCTCTCTGGTTGAGAGACTTTCACCTTTCTTCCCCTATTGACTAAATACACTGTAGTGTGATATAAGACTGGTTTGGGGATAGATTATCTGTGAATAAATGTGCTATATCTAGAAGAGAAGGAGTTGACTAGATTAGAAATCTCCAACCTAAAATTCCCTAAAACCTAGGGAATTTCAAAAGTTGGTAATGGATATAAAAAAAGTTTAGGATTCTTAGGATAAGTGAGTATTATTGCCTCTTACTTCCAACTGTAGAAGTCTGTAATACAAGGCTAATAACTGCTTCAAATCTTTTTTGTAATAAGGATATAGAGGGAATAAAAGTTATTCTTTTACAGAAAACAGAAAACCAGTGAGGTTTCTCTATTCCCGATATGTAGGGAAATCTGATTTGTTCACAGAGTGCATGTGAAGTAGCAGCATGGAAATGTATTTGAAGGATCTGTTTTTTAGTTTTAAACATGAAGAAAACTTGAAGGAATTATTCAGTAAACCCTATAGCCACTAACTACATTCTACAACAATTAACGTTTTCCTGTATTTGGTTTATTACTCCTAAGTAGCTGGGATTCTAGGTGCATGCCACCACACCTGGCTAATTTTTGTATTTTTAGTAAAGATGGGATTTTGCCATGTGGGCTAGGCTGGTGTCAAACTCCTGACCTCAAGTGATCTGCCCTTCTCGGCCTCCCAGAGTGCTGCCTCAGCCTCCCAAGTAGCCTCCCAAAGTGCTGGGATTACAGGCGTGAGGCACCGCACCAGGCCTGGTGTGCTTTTTCTTTGTCTGTTTTATTCAGGGCGTGCTACATGTTTCTTCAATCTGTAAATGTATGTATTTTACCAAATTTGGGGGATTTTCAACTATTAATGTCTTCAGAACCTTTTCTGACTTCGCTCGCTCTCTCTATTCCTCCTGGGATTCCAGTTACATGTATGTTAGATCTTTTGGTATTGTCCTGCAGATCACAAGACTGTTCATTTTTTTCAGTGTTTTTTCTCTTTTCTAATGTAGATAACTTCTGTTCATCTGTATTCAAGTTTAGTGACTCTTCTGTCATCTCAAATCTGAAGTTAAGCCTATCCAATGAATTTTTTATTTTAGATTTATTTTAAATATTATACTTTTTAGTGCTTCAGTTTCCATTTAGTTCTTTTTTACTGTTTCTATTTCTCTAAAATTTCCTATGTGTTCATTGTTTGAGAATATTTTTCTCTACAGCTTTGACCATAGTTATAACAGCAGCTTTAAAATCTGTGTACGCTTATTCTGAGTCATCTCAGCGTCTGTCTTTATTGATTATTATCTTTCCTCTAAAATATGGGTAACATTTTTCTGTTTTATGTCTAGTATTTTGGGGGGTTTTTTGGTTTGGGTTTCGGTTTTTTTGTTGTTGTTTGACAGGGTCTCGCTCTTTTACCTGAGCTGGAGTGCAGTGGCACAGTCGTGGTTCACTGCAGCCTTAAACTCCTGGGCTCAAGCTATCCGCCCATCTCAGCCTCTTGAGTAGCTGGGACTACATGCTACTCATGCATTGTATCCTAGATATTGTAAATAATTCATTGTAGGAACTCTGGATCCTATTATATTCCTCAGAGTATTGATTTTTTTTTTTTGTTTTAGCAGGCAGCTAAATTGGCTGGACACAGACTAAACATTGTCTCACTTGCAGTGAGAAACAGCTAAAATCTCTATTCAGTTTCTCTGGCCTTGGATGGGCTACTTGGGTTCTGCCTTGTATGTGTATTTCATGAGTCAGCCACAGATTTGGGTAGAGTTTATATGAAGAATTTGTGGTTCTCTCTCTCTGTGATCCTTTCCTTTCTGGGAGGTTCCCCCTAATGCCTTTTATTAATTGATGTGTTTGCCCCAACTCTGTCCTCTTAATTTTCAAGCAGAAAGACTACAGATTTTCATTCAAATTTCTAGTTACCCTAGAGTTGTATCCTCAGACAAAGAGTCAAGAAGTGGGGTAGGGAGGAGATGCATATTTGGAGCCTTTTCCTTCTTCCAAGTACTGATTCTTCTCTAGTTTCTGCCTGTTTGTTTGAATTCCAGTGCCTTCAAATCATTGTTTTTTATGTTTCATCCAGAGTTCATAGTTACTATCTATAGGAGAATTGGTCTGATATTACTGGCAGCAGAACTCTGTTCAGTTTTTTAAAATGTGTTTGTATTATTAATGTTGATTATTAGCAATGAATATAATGTTAGAGACTCATCAATAAATACACAAATAAATTTGAGATTAAATTTCTTTTTTGGAATTTGCCCTGTTCTTCCTCTAAATAATCTGTCTCGTTTGTTGATGTGTTTATAGACATAAATATAAGACAGAGGGAAGAGTAGGATTTCTACTGATGATGCCAGCTATAATGATTAGTGAGAAGAGCTTTGTATACTCAACTATAGGAGTCCATATATGATTGTAGTTAACAGTTTCATTGATACTGAAGATCAAATAGGTAATTGAAATAGCAGTACTCTGAGTATCACTGTTATCTAGAAATTAGAATTAATCTTGAATTTTTTTGATACACTTGTTTATCTTAGTATATATAGTTTAAAAAAAAAACTATCAGCCAGGCGCAATGGCTCACGCCTGTAATCCCAGCATTTTGGGAGGGCAAGGCAGATGGATTGCTTCAGCCCAGGAGTTAGAGACCAGCCTAGGCAATACAGTGAGACCCCATCTCTACAAAAAATTAAGAAAATAGGCAGGCATGGTAGCATTTGCTTACAGTCCCAGCTACTTGGTAGGTTGAGGTGGGAGGATCACTTGAGCCCAGGAGGTCGAGGCTGCATTACAGTGAGCCGTGATTGCACCACTCACTCCAGCCTAGGTGACAGAGTGAGACTGTCTCAAAAAACAAAACTATTTATAGTGTGCGAGTTATCAATCAAGTAGTTTGGTTCAGACATACAATATTTTGATCATGTCGATATAACTTCTAGTTGCCATATTTTTAACCAGGGAGGAGTTAATCTTTGTCCTCAAGGAAGGACTAGTCTAAGATGGATGCTAATGGGTTCATGGGTAGTCACGATGCAAAAACTATTCTTATACTGCATTGCTAAGAACTGGTGTTCATGAAAGAAATAGACATAATCCATTGAAATGTGCTTAATTTTGAACCCCTGCATGGTTTTAAGAGCTTAACAGAAGTTTCCCCTATGGTTAAGTTGGTATATAAGAATAGGCATGAGAATGAGGAAATGTTGCCTGGAAGAAATGGGAGAACCCAAGAAAACGATAGACATAGTGAAAATCAGTCCGGTTTTTTTTTTTTTTTTTTTTTTTTTTTTTTTTTTTTTTTTGAGACAGAGTCTGGCTCTGCGGTCCAGGCTGGAGTGCAGTGGTGCAGTCTTGGCTCACTGCAGCCTCCACCTCCTGGGTTCAAGCGATTCTCCTGCTTCAGCCTCCTAAGTAGCTGGGACTACAGGTGCCTGCCACCACACCCAGCTAATTTTTGTATTTTTAGTAGAAATTTGGAGTTTCACATGTTGGCCAGGCTGGTCTGGAACTCCTGACCTCAAGTGATCTGCCTGCCTCAGCCTCCCAAAGTGGTGGGATTACAAGCGTGAGCCACTGCACCTGGCTCCAGTCCTCTTTTATATTCCCTTTTTTGTTTTGTTTATATTTTCTTCTGAAGATTCTTTTTGAACGGAGTTTCCTGAGTGCTTTTGTTCCCAGTAAAAATCTGTGTCTTTCAGTTTAGTTTTAACCCTTTGGGGGAGTGTTGACACTATAATGTGTTGGCTTAATTTAACAACACTGCTCACTTCCCTGAATATTTTTTCTTTCAAGGTGGGTTTTTTTTTTAAGGTTATGTGGATTATGTTTAGCATTTGAGAATTTCGTGACAACTTTGATTACCTTAAATATCGTTATTTAATAACCATGACTGCACTAGAAAACCCAGTGATGCCAAAACCACAGTAGAACCATGTTAGTGACCGTGGTTAGGGCCATTGTGGATTTAGCTGACCAAGAAGTAAGGTGTTTGAAAACTTTTTGCATATGCAATGTATAACATGAAGTATTTTTTCTTGTCTTTTTCTCCCAATTTGTAGGAGGCCCTCTTCATTGCTCGCTTCAGTCCTCCAAGCTGTGGTGTGCAGGTGAACAAGCTGTGGTACAAGCCCGTGGAACAATTCATCTTACCAGAGGTACAGGATGGCAGGAAAAGACTGTAGTACCAATGCAGTCCTTCATAGGAGTGGGCGTGTGCTTTCAGGGGCAGGCACTTGATATTTTCTTGTACCAGGGCAGCACTCCAGAGTGATAGATGAAGGTACCAACTGTGGATGGGCTAAAACATAGCACTCTGTATTCAAACCTCCTGAGGACTTCATGAGGCCTCAGAGGTTCCAAAACCACTTTTTGAAAAACATTGCATGTTTCCGTAGTTTATTTAGTGGAGTAGAGAACTACACAATTGTTTTAATGACAAAGGATGATGTTGGGTGTGGATTGATGGAAAGACCAGACAGAGATACCATTTGGGTAAAAATTAAATAATTTGCTTATCTAAAGAATGAAAAGAAAAAAAAGTCAGTGCAGACAGGTTAATGATAGAGATGGGCCATGTTTCCAAGTTAAATAAAATTTCTCCAAAGGGTGAACAGTTGTGGATGATAGCCTGAAAATGTACCTGTCACCTTCTGGGTCCCTCTAGGTCCAGTCATAACTAGATATGCACTAAAGAATGCCTCGCCTGCCAGGTGCCCTCATTAGTCCTGGAGTTAAGCCACACAGTATGGTCGCAGAGTGTGACAGAATCAGGATCAGACATAACAAATTATTCATTCATCAGCTTCAGCCTTTCTAGGCTGTTTTAGTCTAGGCCGAGTACATTCCTGAACTCAGTGCTCTGGAACCACAATCGGGGTCAGTTTCCTAGACATCTCTGGGATTCACTTTAGATCACCTATAGAGTTCATCCCGCAGCATCTCAGCTGGGTTAAGGTGTGGAGGCTAGACAACTGACCGGCCCTGGTGACTAACCAAGAAACTTTTTCCTACCCATTCTGTGGTGTGCCATTCACAATGTGTTCAGCAATAGGAACCACACATTTTTGTAACATACTATGGGTCTTTGGAATTGAGTACAAGTAGTTGAAACTATATGTTAATTCTGTCAGTGTCAAAGGGATCTCCTTTTCATTTGTATCTGAACCTCCATTTTAAAAACTTCTGAATACGCTACTCTCAGCATACTGCTTATAGGATAGCCTGCTCCGCAAAAGCAGTCAAAAAATAAATTAAAAAAAACAAAACGACTTTTAAATAAAAGCCAAACTAAAACAGGGGTGGAAAAAAAGGAAAATGCAGATATGCTAAAGGAAAACAAGACTACTAGAATCTCATATTTGGAGATAATCACATTTAACATTTTTGCTTCTATGTGTTATAGTTGCTAGGATTATGCCGTTCATTCTACTTTATAATTTACTTACTTTAACATATCACGAACATCTTTTGATGTGCTCTATTATTTGTAATGGCTATATAGAATTACATTGTATGAAAGTATTGTCATTTAACTCTGTATTTGGGTGTTGATAGAGTTTCAATTTTTCGGTGTTATGGAAAAGACTGTAGTAAATATCACCGCACCTCTGTTTTATGTGTATAACTGGTTATTTTCTTAGGATGAATTGTTGGGTCGAAGGGTATACACATTTTTAAGTCAGATGATTCCTTCCTGGAGGGGAGTTTAGCAATTTGTATCAGTGTGAACAATCATTAGCAATATATGAGAGTGCCTGTTTTCCTACATCCTTTTATTAATTTCACATATGAACTTTTTTCCTTTTTAAGTGCAGTATGTACCATCAAAGTTACCTTTTACTTCAGGAATGGTGGTTCAGGTCGGGCTCAGTGGCTCACACCTGTAATCCCAGCACTTTGGGAGGCCAAGGCGGGTGGATCACAAGGTGAGGAGTTCAAGACCAGCCTGGCCAAGATGGCAAAACCCCGTCTCTACTAAAAATACAAAAATTAGCTGGGTGCGGTGGTAGGCTCCTGTAATCCCAGTTACTCGGGAGGCTGAGGCAGGAGTATCGCTTGAACCCGGGGGACAGGTTGCAGTGAGCCAAGATTGCAACACTGCACTCCAGCCTGGGCCACAGAGAGACGCCATCTCAAAAAAAAGAATAGTGGTTCAGATACATAGTGTTGGATCTCAGTTTTTGCAGGAAGCCATTCTTTGGTTTGTTCATTCACATGAGGTGCTTAATCTCACTGTGTCTATTTCCTCCTCTAAGATGAAGGTGCTACACCACCCATTTCAGATGGTTATTCTGGGGGCTAAATGATTTAACACACGTAGACTGCTTAGAACATGCTGCCATATGCCACGCATTCAGTAGATCAATAGATGTTGTCATTATCATTATACTCCTCATCTGGATTGAGGGGGTCCTATTCTTTAAGAGCAGTGTTTCTTCACCAGGGGCAATTTGCCCTCCGCGCACAGAGCAGTGTATAGAGACACTTTCAGTTGTTAAAACTGGATGTAGGGTGATACTGGCATCTAGTGGGTAAAGGGACAGGGATTCTGCTAAACATCCTGCAGCCACAGGACACCACCCCACCCCCGCCCCAGCAAATAATTATCTGGCCCAAAATGTCATTGGTGCTGAGGTTGAGAAACTGTATTCCAAAAGAAAGTCACATGGGGTGCAGCAAAGAGGAAGAAAATGAACTTTAATGCTTCAAGCTAATCGCAGTTTTATGGAGTCTGTTCCATTATCTTGGTCAGCCTTATAGAAAGAATTGCAAATTTTGATTAGTTCATAAAAAATATTATTTTCGCTTAGAATGTCCTTGTTCTTAGGAAATACATGCTGAAATACTTAAAGTTAAAAATTCATGATATCTGTATTTTTAAGTGATCCAACAACAGAAAAGTGTGTGTGGAGAGAGAGCAAAAAGGCAAATGTGGCAAAATGTGAACAGTTGGTGAGTCTAGGTGATTTGAATGGTGATTTGAACTTTTCTATAGGTTTGAAGCTTTTCAAAATAAAAATTGGGTTGGGGGAGAGGGGTTAACCTTCCTTGCTTGTGTTCAGGATGGTATATCTGGCAGTGGGTACTAATGATGGGAAGTACTCAGCCAAAATAGTGAGTTACCTTTGTAGTTATTAAGACTTTTTTTTCCCCTAATTTTTATTTACTTATTTTTTTTTTTTTTGAGACAGGCTCTGGCTCTGCTGCCCAGGCAGGAGTCCAGTGGCATGATCATAGCTCACCGCAGCCTCAACCATATGGGCTCAAATGATTCTCCTACCTCAACCTCATGAGTAGCTGGGACTACAGGCACCTGCCACCAGACCCAACTAAATTTTTTATATCTTTTTTTTTTTTTTGAGACAGCATTTTGCTCTGTCACCCAGGCTGGAGTGCACTGGCATGATTCTGGCTCACTGCAACCTCTGCCTCCCACGTTCAAGTGATTCTCCTGCCCCAGCCTCTCAAGTAGCTGGGATTACAGGCACATGCCACCACACCGGCTAATTTTTGTATTTTTTAGTAGAGACAAGATTTTACCATGTTGGCCAGGCTGGTCTCGAACTCCTGACCCCAGGTGATCCACCTACCTTGGCCTCCCAAAGTGCTGAGATTACAGACATGAGCCACCACGCCTGGCCTAAATTTTTTATTTCTTGTACAGATGGGTGTGTCGCTATGTTGGCAGGCTGGTCTTGAACTTCTGGCCTCAAGCAATCCTCTCACCTCCCAAAGGTCTAGGATTACAGGCTTGAGCCACCACACCAGGTCTAGTTTGTTTGTTTGTTTGTTTGTTTAGAAACGGAGTCTCGCTCTGTCACCCAGGCGGGAGTGCAGTGGCATGATCTCCGCTCACTGCAACCTCTGCCTCTTGGGTTCAAGCAATTCTCCTGCCTCAGCCTCCTGAGTAGCTGGTACTATAGGCGTGTGCCATCACGCCTGGCTAATTTTTTGTATTTTTAGTACAGACGGGGTTTCACCGTGTTAGCCAGGATGGTCTTGATCTCCTGATCTCATGATCCGCCCGCCTGCCTTGGCCTCCCAAAGTGCTGGGATTACAGGCATGAGCCACTGCGCCTGGCCACCAGGTCTAGTTATTAAGAGTTTTAATGACTATAGCCTTGTGCTTTTTATCTCCCTTCAGGCTTTAGGCTAAATAGACTTGATTTTATTACCTTTATTAATTTTGTATAATATTTTTTCTTTTAAAAAACAAGCAGGCCACGTGTGGTGTCTCAGGCTTATCCTCCCAGCACTTTGGGAGGCCGAGGCGGGCAGATCATTGAGCCCATGAGTTTGAGACGACCAGCCTGGGCAACTTGATGAAACCCAGTCCCTATTCAAACAACAAAAATAACCACACACACAAAAAGCAAGCAATTATTTAATAGTGGCTATACCTGGTGGGGAGCTAAGATTATGGATGATTTTAATTTTCTTCTTTTTGTATATCTATCTTCTAAATGTTCCATAATAAACATATATTAGCTTTATATAATAGAAAGAAAAAATAAACTTTTAGCAATTAAAAAAATTCTCTCCTGTTGTACAAAATTCTATTTGTGTTGAAAATATGTTTAATTTTAAATCCTTTTTTTTACTGCATCAAGGCTGATTGGGTTTGTTTGCTCGGAAGAATGATAGTGATTGTTTGCTGGCATATCATCAGCAAAGAGTAACAGAAGAGAAGTAGGTAGTGTATTCCATTTGCGAGAGGAAGTTCATCATCGTATTCCCTCCACACTTGGTGATTGCCTGGAGTCACATGTCCCCAGTATAGCTTGTCCAGTAAGCAGGTCGCCTGTAAGGTTTTCATTGTGTAGCTCACTGAAGCATAAATCTCAGTGGGCGTCACAAGTGATTCTTCACAAGTGAAGACTACTGTGTGTTTCTCTTAAAATATTTATGTTTTGGCTGGGCGTGGTGGCTCACATCTGTAATCCCAGCACTTTGGGAGGCCGAGGCGGGTGGATCATGAGGTCAGGAAATCCAGACCATCCTGGCTAACATGGTGAAACCCCATCTCTACTAAAAATACAAAAAATTAGCCAGGTGTGGTGGCGCATGCCTGTAGTCCCAGCTACCAGAAGGCTGAGGCAGGAGAATCACTTGAACCTGGGAGGCAGAGGTTGTAGTGAGCCAAGATCATACCACTGCACTCCAGCCTGAGTGACAGAGACAGAGCGAGACTCCGTCTCAAAAAAAAAAAAAAAAAAAAAAATATATATATATATATATATATATATATATATATATATGTCTCTAATTTTATGTTGTCCTTAATGGTACAGTTGGAACCTGTAACTAATTTCAGTAAAAAGCAGACTATTTTTGTTCACCTAAGTCACTAGCGACGTTATTGTTAGCATTATGGACGCTTACATCCTTAGACAGAATTTCACTCCTGTTGCCCAGGCTGGAGTGCAATGGCTCAATCTTGGCTCACTGCAACCTCCACCTCCCAGGTTCAAATGATTCTCCTGCCTCAGCCTCCTGAATAGCTGGGATTACGAGTGCCTGCCACCACACCTGGCTAATTTTTTTTATTTTTAATACAGACAGGGTTTCACCATGTTGGCCAGGCTGGTTTTGAACTCCTGACCTCAGGTGATCCACCCACCTCGGCCTCCCAAAGTGCTGGGATTACAGGTGTGAGCCACCGTGCCCAGCCTATATCCTTATTTTTTGTGAAGGTTGAAATTCTTTATATATAGTCATTTCTCCAATCCACAAGAAGTTGTTAATGTTTATAGGCACAGAAGTACTGTATATATTTAAGCTACTCTGTTGTTTGGATGAGAAATTAGAAGCTTTATGGAAAAGAGTTGATGCGTGAAAGGAGTTACAGACAGCTTGCTTATGTTATGGGAGAGATAGATATGATATCTCATTTTTCCAACCTGTATCATGCTATTTTTTCCCAACTTTTATTTTGGTTTTTATGATCTTAGTAAGGGAATTGCCATAAACAAGTTGTTTTGGATCTTAAGAGATACCTGGCTTCATAATTGCCTTACATCAGAATAAAAAGTAGGTGTATGAGAGCAGAGGTGAGGAATAGAAATTAAACTGTGTTGTGGAGCAGAAACAGGTTTAGGAGATAGGTGGAAGATAAAGCTTCTTCCTTGCTTAGTAACAAAACAGCTGATGGGTTATTTAAGTTCCATGAGTAAGTCAAGATGATTTGGGAGGACTAGGGAATTTTTCTGGTAACACATTCAATTATTCATTGAATTTGTTTGTTGTATCATAGCCTAGTCACAGACAAAATGGAGTTGGGTGCCAGGAAGGACCCACTGTGAAATAGCATGTCACATGTCATGTCAATTGAATGGACAGTACAGAGAATTACTCGTTTTATCATCATCTTTTCTAGATTTGTAGTTTCAAGGTGAGGATTTTTATCTGGTCACTATAGTTTTTACTTTTGGTATGATTCATTATTTCCTTTTTGCTTTCCTCTTAAATATTAATCATTAGGATTTGCTACCTAGCCTTCTGTTTTATTTTACTCATTCTTCCCAGGCAATTTCATTCATTACTGCCTGTATGCTGAAGGCTGTTAAATCTATAATTACAGCCCCAGCATCTCTTGTGAACTCCAGACATGCTTTGAGTTGCCTCCTGAACTTCTCCACTTGAATGTCCCATGGGCATTCTAATGGTAACATTGTCTCCATCCCATCTGTTCTCATCGCCTGTATTTTTAATCTTGGGTAACCATCTCCTTTTCCTCAAGTCACCTAAACCAGAATCATGAGAGTTATCGTCACTCTCATGTCCAGGTACTCACCAAGTCCTATCAGTTCCTTATCCTAAGTATATATGCTATCAATCCTTCCAAACTCTATCACTATTAAAGTTTTAGAAGAAAATACATTAGCTGAATACAGAGCGATAAACTGCCTGAGGAATCCGGACTCTTGGAATATTTTTATCTGTTTTGGAGGAGGAAAAAAATATTATTTATTTTAAAAAAGGAAAGAAAGGAAGGGAAAGGTTGGGCGGTGGCTCACGCCCGTAATCCTAGCACTTTGGGAGGCTGAGGCAGGCAGATCACTAGGTCAGGAGTTCAAGACCAGCCTGGCCAACATGGTGAAACCCCATCTCTACTGAAAATACAAAAATTAGCTAGGCATGGTGGCACATTCCTGTAATCCCAGCTACTTGGGAGGCTGAGGCAGGAGAATCACTTGAACCAGGACCTGGGAGGTGGGGTTTGCAGTGAGCAGAGATCACGCCACTGCACTCCAGCCTGGGCTACAGAGTGAGACTCCGTCTCAAAAAAATAAAAATAAAAAAAAAGAAAAAGTTTATATCACTCTGTGCAGAGGGAAAAAAATGTTTATAAACCACTGACCTAGCTTATCAAATTGAATTTTGTATGGTTTCCCTATACTGCTGGCTAAAATGAGACATTATTGTAAAGTACTTTATCCCTTCATTTTAACATGAAAGTTTTTAGAGTATTAGAGGTATATCTTTCATTTAATCCTCTATACTATAGTCAATTCTGGTTGATTTTTAGTTCAACATTATTTATTCAGCAAACATTTTGAGTTGTCAGTCATGTCAGGCCAGGCTCGATGCTGGGGATGCAGTGGTTGATCAGGCAAGCTCCTTCCTGTTCTCAAGGTGTTTGTCTTCTAGTAGAGGCAGTTAGTTTAATAATAAAATAAAATAAGAAATATCAGAGTGATAAATGGTATTAATAAGATAAAACAGGTTGATGTGATAGAAGTTGGGAGTTGGAGCCTTCTGGAGGACATCTGGAGAAAGCCTCTCGGAGGAGAAGGTAGTGGAGCTGAGACCTGAGCAGGACTAAGGAGCCAGCTGTGCACAGAATTAAAAATGGGATCATGGAGAAATTAGAAGACATTAAGATTTCAATATATATCAGACCTTGGGACAGGGGGGCATAGCTCTCTCAGCTCAGAATTTAATAGTAATAATCACAAAGGAAAAGTTTGTCAGATTTGCCAAGGTGAAATTTATGGACTTCTGAATTTCAAAAATAGCATTAAGTAGCAAATGAAAAACTATTTTAGCATATAAAATGTGCACAGGATTAAGATAATTACTTTATTAAAAGCTTGCATAGATGAACAAGAAAAATAGAAAACTCAGAGGGCAGATGGCAAAGCAGCATGATAAGGCAGTCCTCAGAAGAGAACATGCAATTCATAAACATCACTAGGAATCAGAAATCCAACTAAGCCAATCTTTTTTTTTTTTTTTTAAATTCAGGCAGGGCGCCGTGGCTCATGCCTGTAATCCCAGCACTTTGGGAGGCCAGGGTGGGCAGATCACTTGAGGTCAGGAGTTCCAGACCAGCCTGGCCAACATGGCGAAACCCTGTCTCTACTAAATATCCAAAAATTAACCGGGCGTGATAGTGAGCGCCTGTAATCCCAGCTACGCGGGAGGCTGAAGCAAGAGAATCGCTTAAACCTGGAGAGTGAAGGTTGCAGTGAGCCATGATCGCACCATTGCACTCCAGCCTGGGTGGCAGAGCGAGGCTCTGTGTCAAAAACTGAAAAATAAATCCAACTAAATAAGGAATCATTTTGTAAAAATCTAGTATATTAGGTTAAACTTTTGTTTACTAGTATCCCATACCAGGGAGAATACAGTGCAGTTGTCATTCTCATACATTGCTGATAACCCTATAAATTAGTAAAAGTTGCTTTCAAAAAGCAGTTGGCGGTGTATACCAAAATCCATAAAAATATCTCTTTCTTGTCCCAGTAATTTCACTCTGGGAATGTAAGTACAAAACAAATTGTTAGGAGTAAATAAACATGTACACCAAAACATGCCTACATTATTTTAGTAGATACTTAGTAGATATTTTAGTAGACATTTAGTAGCAACCAAATGTCTAATAGTAGGGGAAAATGAGTAAATCAGGGTGTATCTGCTCATTGGGATGTTATACACACATGAGGAAGAATGGCTGTGACAGCTGCAACAACATAAGGAAATGCTTTTGATACAATGGGAAATGGCAAACAGCAGTATGCAAAATTGTGTATATACTCTTTGTAATTGGTTTTTTATATGTGCATGGAAAAAACGGTCAAGGATACACACCAAACGCTAACAGTGGTATGTCAGAGTTATGGGGTGAAAATTTTAAATGATACGTTTTGGGAAAAATTTTCTCTAAAAATCTTGCCTGAAAGCATACTTAAAACCTAAATGACAGCAATAAGGAAATTGACTCACTATTCATCTTTCTACAAAAGAGCTTTGAAGGTACAATCGTGTGGGAGAGCCAAGACCTCCACGGCCTTGTGTCAAGAAATCTCCACAAAGTGACAGTGAATGATGGAGGGGGAGTTCTCAGAGTCATTACAGTAAGTCGTTTTTTTTTAAGGTTTAATTGCATATTTTAGCTTCTTTTTAATATATAAAATTGTTCTAAAATTTACCTTAGAGCCCAGGCAGCATGGAGCAATGATTCTTGTGTGTTTTACAACATATATAGTAGCAAATGTTGTTGTCTTCATAGTAAAGGCAAAAACTCAAATATGATCCTGTAACTCCAGCATTAGTGAGTTTACAGTTTTGCTTTAAGATTGATGCATTTTTAAAATGCAATATTTTATTTCTCTTTTTTTTTTTTTTTTTGAGAGGGTCTCACTTTGTTGCACAGGCTGGGGTGCACTAGCACGATCACAGCTCACTGCAGCCTCCACCTCCTGGCTTAAACAATCCTCCCATGTAGCTGGGGCTACAGGTGCGCACCACTACACCCAGCTAACTTTTTGTGTTTTTTGTAGAGATGGGGTTTCACCATGTTGCCTAGGCTGGTTGCAAACTTCTGGGCTCAAGTGATCCGCCCACCTACGCTTCCCAAAGTGCTGTATTACAGGCATGAGCCACTGCACCTGGCCTATTTCTCAGTAATTTTTAAGTTAGCATTCTTTAAGAATACTTGCTCAGTAGTATTCAGAGTATTTACTATCTCACCTTGAAAATAAAACCTCAGTTAAAATACTATAATTAGCCAGGTGCGGTGGCTCATGCCAATAATCCCAGAACTTTAGGAGGCTGAGGCAGGTGGATCACTTGAGGCCAGGAGTTTAACACCAGCCTGGGCAACATAGCAAGACCCCATCTGTACTAAAAATACAAAAACTTAGCCAGGCATGGTGGCGCATGCCTGGAATCCCAGCTACTCAGGTGGCTGAGGCATGAGAATTGCTTGAACCTAGGAGGCAGAAGTTCCAGTGAGCTGAGATCACACCACTGCACTCCAGCCTGGGTGGCAGAGTGAGACTCTGTCTCAAAACAAACAAACAAACAAAAAAAACTACTATAGATAAAAATATTGGAAAATAAGGCGGGGTGTGCTGGCTTATGCCTGTAATCCGAGCACTTTGGGAGGCTAAGGTGGGTGGACCACTGGAGGTCAGGAGGTCAAGACCAGCCTGGCCAACATGGTGAAACCCCGTCTCTACTAAAAATCCAAAAAAAAAAAAAATTAGCTGGGCCTGGTGGTGCATGCCTGTAATCCTAGCTACTTGGGAGGCTGAGGTGGGAGGATTGCTTGAACCCCAGAGGTGGAGGTTGCAGTGAGCCAGGATCATGCCACTGCACTCCAACCTGGGCAACAGAGCGAGACTCCATCTCAAAACAAAACAAAAAAAAATAGAAAATAAGATTGAGTACTTTCATTTATTTTGCTGAAGCAACTCTGGGATTTCTGACTCTCATATTTCTCATTCGGCTTTGCTTTAAATTTAAAACAGTTTGACAGGTGAATTTCTCAAAGTAAATATAGGTCAATAAAGCAGGTATATGAAGACTTAAAATGAACTTTAGTAAACAAACGGTCTGTACGGTGGAATCATAGACAATCTTTTATTCTCCTCGATCTCCTGTCCAATGATTAGGAATGTACTTGGCATTTAAATTCACAAGCTTAGTGAATGAATATTAACCTCATTTACATGGATTAATTTCTGAGTTGAAATGAATATATGCTACGTTATTACTCATTCAAAAAACATTTCCTGCATACCTGTGGTAAGGCAGAAACAATGGCAGGGTAAAATAGACATACTAGTGGCCCACCGTGGAACTTACAGTCCAGTGAGGAAGAAAGACATTAAACAAATAGACCCATAGATTCATATGTAGTTATACATTTAGATTTGTAGGCCATGTTTAGGATTTCATTCATGTTTAGGATTTAGGATTTATTATGACAGGTAAATTTCATAAAGTAAATGGAGGACAATAAAGATGGTGTTTACTTTAGTAAACACACACACCACTTGTTTACTAAAGTTCATTTTAAGTCTTATGAAAAATTTTTTACTGAAAATAGAAAGTTTTATGGAATTATATCTTTCCTTATTATCTTGCCTCCTTTTCTATTTATGAAACTTTAAAATACCCAGCATATGCCAAAATTCTGTAATATTGGTTACACTAAAAGAAATAAATTGGCCGGGCGCGGTGGCTCACGCCTGTAATCCCAGCACTTCGGGAGGCTGAGGTGGGAGGATCACGAGGTCAAGAGATCAAGACCAGCCTGGCCAACATGGTGAAATCCCGTCTCTACTAAAAATACAAAAATTAGCTGGCTGTGGTGGCGGGTGCCTGTAGTCCCAGCTACTCGGAAGGCTGAGGCAGGAGAATTGCTTGAACCCAGGAGGTGGAGGTTGCAGTGAGCCAAGATCGCGCCACTGCACTCCAGCCTGGCTACAGTGCGAGACTCCGTCGCAAAAAAAAAAAAAAAAAAAAAGGTAGGTTTCTGAGTTGAGAACTAGGTTCAAATGTAAAGACTCAAATGATCTGCCTTTGGGAGTAAAAATTATTATAGAGGGCTAAAGATAGCTTAAACATACAGTTAACCTAAAAAAACAAAAACAAAACCAGGTAACTTTTTAAAGCCTACGCTAAGAAACCCCAGGTACAAATTAAGATTTTCATCACAAATGCGTACAGCTGAGAGTTTTCACTAAGCTTTATTCCCTTGCCAGCAAGTGATGTCAGAAAAATTTTAAAGGCAAAAAGCCAAGTTGTGACCTTTTAGAGAGAAGTTAATAAACAGAAATTACTATTGAGTTCTAAAGCCAAAACAATATAGAAATATACAATAAAAAATAAAGCATAGGCTGGGTGCTGTGGCTCACGCCTGTAATCCCAGCATTTTGGGAGGCTGAGTTGGGCAGATCACCTGAAGTCAGGAGTTCGAGACCAGCCTGACCAACATGGTGAAACCCCGTCTCTACTAAAAATATAAAAATTAGCCAGGCGTGATGGCTAATGCCCGTAATCCCAGCTACTCAAGAGGCTGAGAAAGGAGAATCACTTGAACCCGGGAGGCAGAGGTTGCAGTGAGCCAAGATCACGCCATTGCACTCCAGCCTGGGCGACAAGAGTGAAACTCCATCTCAAAAAACTAAATAAGTAGGCCGGGCGCGGTGGCTCACACCTGTAATCCCAGCACTTTAGGAGGCCGAGACAGGCGGATCACCTGAGGTCAGGAGTTCGAGACCAGCCTGGCCAACATGGTGAAACCCCGTCTCTACTAAAAATACAAAAATTAGCCAGGTGTGCTGGCAGGCGACTGTCAGCTACTTGAGAGGCTGAGGCAAGAGAATCGCTTGAACCCCCGAGGCAGATGTTGCAGTGAGCCGAAATCACGCCATCGCACTCCAGCCTGGGGGACAAGAGCAAGACTTCGTCTCAAAAAAAAAAAAAAAAAAGTAAATAAGTAAATAACAAATAAAGCATATACAGTCTTTTATGGAACTACAACGTTGGAATCTATAGCCTGCCCCTTTAGTAATTTTCACATTTGGCTACGAACTTTTATTTTATTTTATTTTATTTATTTTTTTGAGATGGAGTCTCACTCTGTCACCCAGGCTGGAGTACAGTGGCACAGTCTTGGCTCACTGCAATCTCCTTCTCCCAGGTTCAAGTGATACTCCTGCCTCAGCCTCCAGAGTAGCTGGGATTATAGGCACACACCACCATGCCTAGCTAATTTTTCTGTATTTTTAGTAGAGACAGGGTTTCACCGTATTAGCTAGGATGGTCTTGATGTCTTGTCCTCGTGATCCGCCCGCCTCCGCCTCCCAAAGTGCTGGGATTACAGGTGTGAGCCACTGCGCCTGGCCTACAAACATATTTTAAATTAAATGACAAGTTACTACAGTGACCTCAGATTACTTGTTCTACTGGCCTTAAAACATTGCTTTGTACAGTACAACTCTGAAAAGATCTGTTTAAGAATAGCCAAGCAGTAGCTCTCTTGATTAAATGAAGGTGTAGAAAAAATACTGTAAATACACTGAGTATGGACTCTTAACTGTCTGATCTAGCCCACAACAGCCAGACAATACTCTGGTAGATGTACCATAGTGGTTTACTGTATACAGAAGTAAAACAGTTCACTCTGAGTAAGGCCATTGGGTAACTTTTGAAGAGAGATAACTCTTTAATAATAAAAGATTCTCCATTCTAAGAAGTAGAAAGGACTGTCATTGGCTGCTGGCACAATAGGCTTAAGCACCTTCAACAACATCAACAGGCTGGGCACAGTGGCCCACACCTGTAATCCCAGCACTTTGGGAGACCGAGGCGGGAGGATCACTTGAGCCCAGGAGTTCAAGACCAGCCTGGGCAGCACAGTGAGACCTCTTCTCTACAAAAAATTTATAAATATTAGCTGGGCATGGTGGTGCACACCTGTAGTGCTAGCTGCTTGTAAGGCTGAGATGGGAAGATTGTATGTTCAAGGCTAGAATGAGATATCATTGCACCACTGCACTCAGCCTGAGCATCAGAGTGAAACCCTGTCTGTAAAATGAAATTAGGCCGGGTGTGGTGGCTCACGCCTGTAATCCCAGCACTGTGGGAGGCTGAGGCAGGCGGATCACCTGAGGTCAGGAGTTCGAGACCAGCCTGACCAATATGGTGAAACACTGTCTCTTATTTGAAAAAAAAAAAAAAAGAAAAATTAAAAATTAAAAAAAAATTTTTTTTTAATCAATATACAGTAGAGTTCAATTTGAATATTTGGAACAGACTGTTAATTTTGAGCCTTTCTCTGCATGGTCTCTTAACTTTAAAGCATGCCAAGATGTATTTGAACTCATGAGAATTTTTAGTTTCCAAAAAATCAAAGGTCGTAATACATATTTTTTTAAGTGGTGGGGTTGGGATGTAAAATCAATTGCTTTTTGTACTACTAGAGTAGCAAGTACATAAACATGATTCTATGTAAGTTGCAATTCTGAACACCTTATGGAATGTTGGGTATATCTTATCTTTAGTATTGTAATTAGATAACAAAAATAGTAGAATACCGTATGTCATCCTGATATTATAAGCCTCCAGTGCACCAGCATCTTACATGCATTTATCTGCTGCAAGTGGAGTCATATTATGATTTTTGTCAAATCGATTTTAAAATATGATCAGTGTATTTTTAGTAATGAATCACTGAGTACATTCTTATTCCTTTCAGGCTGGGGAGGGTGCATTGCCTCATGAATTCTTGGAAGGTGTGGAGGGAGTTGCAGGTGGTTTTATATATACTATTCAGGGTAAGTTTGCTAGTTGAAACTTGAAAAGTACACTGAATGTCTTATACTTAATCTTTATACTTGAGAGAAAAGGATTTTTTCTTTTTTGTCTTTTAAAAAACTTTATTCAGATAAAATTCACCCTTTTAAAGTGGTTCAGTGGTTTTAGTGTATTCTTAGAGTTCTACAACCGGCTCCACCTCCCAAAAGGAAACCCCACACCCATTAGCAGTTACTCCTCATTCTTACCTCCCCAACCCCCCACCCCCTAACAACTACTGATGCACTTTCTTTCTCTATGGATTTGCCTGTTTTGAACATTTCACATAAATGGAAATGCACAGTACGTACTCTGTGTGTCAGTTTCTTTGCTGTAACATGTGTTCCAGGTCTGTCCATTTTGTATGTATCAGTACTTCTTTTTTATGATCATATAATATTCTATTGCATCGATATGCCCTATTTTATTCATTCATTAATGGATGGACATTTAGATTGCTTCTACTTTTTGAATATGAATAATTCTGTAGTAAACATGTAGGTACAAGTTTTTGTGTGGTCATATATTTCCATTTCTCTTAAATGTCTAGGAGTAGAAGACCTGGGTCATATAATTGTGTGTTTAATCACTTGAGGCACTGCCAGGTTGTTTTCTAAAGCAGCAGCCCACTTTACATTTCCATAGTCAGTATATGAGGATTCTAGTTTCTCCATATTCTTGTCAACACTTAATAAATTGTCTGTCTTTTAAAATATACCAATCCTAGTGGGTGTAAATTGTTATTTCATTGTGATTTTTATTCGTATTTCCATAATAACTAATGATGTTGAGCATTTTCTTCATGTGCTTATTGGCCATTTGTATATCTTCCTTTTTTGTTTCGTTGTTTTTCTTTTTTTCTGAGACGAGGCCTCACTCTGTTGCCCAGGCTGGAGTGCAGTGGCATGATCACAGCTCACTGTAGCCTTGACCTCCCCGGGCTCAAGTGAACTTCCCATTTCAGCCTCCCGAATAGCTGGGACTACAAGTGCATGCCACCATGCCCAGCTAATTATTAAATGTTTTGTAGAGACAGGGTTTTGTCATATTGCTGAGGCTGCACACTGTTAACAGGGTGAATTATTATGGTATATGAACTAGATGTGGGAAGTGAGGGAGGGAGGAGGGGGAGGAAGTGAGGGAGGAAGGGGTGGAGAGAGGGAGAAGGTGGTGAGGGAGGGAGGGGTGGAGGGAAGAAGGGAGGAAAGGAGGGGAGAGAGAGTCATTTGTATATCTTTAGAGAAATATCTATTCAGATCCTTTGCCCATTTATAAAATTATTTTATTGTTGAATTGTAAGAGTTCTTTATATATGCTGGATACAAGTCCCTTATCAGATACATGCTTTGCAAATGGTGCCCTTTAACACACAAAAGTTGTAAATTTTGATGAAGTCCAATTTTGTCACATGTTTTTGCTGTCATATGTAAGGAACTATTGTCTAATGTGAGGTCACAAAGATTTGTGCCTTTGTTTTACAGTTCCAAGAGTTTTATAGTTTTAGCACTTATACGTAGGTCTTGGATCCATGTTCATTTTCATATATGGCATGAAATAGAGGTTTAACTTCATTCTTTTGCATGTGGATATCCAGTTGTCCCAGCACCCATTTGTTGAAAATCAGTGACTGTAGATGTAAGGATTTACTTGAGGACTCTCAATTCTATTCCATTGATCTATGTGTCTGCGTCTTTAACCAGTACTACACTGTCTTGATTATGTAGCTTTTTAGTAAGATTTGAAATTGGGAGGCTGGGCACGGTGGCTCACTCCTGTAATCCCAGCACTTTGGGAGCCCGAGGCAGGTGGATCACGAGGTCAGGAGTTCGAGACCAGCCTGACCAACATGGTGAAACCCTGTCTCTACTAAAAATACAAAAAAATTAGCCAGGCATGGTGTCGGGCGCCTGTAATCCCAGCTACTCCAGAGGCTGAGGCAGAAGAATCGCTTGAACCTGGGAGGCAGAGGTTGCATTGAGCTGAGATTGCCACTGCATTTCATCCTGGGTGACAGCAAGACTCCGTCTCAAAAAAAAAAAAAAAAAAAAAAGAAATTAGGAAATGTGAATCCTCCAACCTTGTTCTTTTTCAAGCTTGATTGGCTATTCTGGGTCTCTTGCACTTCCATATGAATTTTATGATCAGCTTGTTAATTTGTGCAAAAAAAAAAAAGAAAACCTAGCTGGAATGTTTTAAGGGATTGCATATATATATATGCATATATATGAATAAATATATAATTTCAATCGGTTTTGGGGGAGCAGGTGGTGTTTGATTACATGAATAAGTTCTTTAGCGGTGATTTCTGAGATTTTGGTGCACCCATCACCCAAGCAGTGTACACTGTAACCAGTGTGTAGTCTTATTCCTACCCCCTCCCACCCTGTCCCCACCAAGTCCCCAAAGTCCATTGTATCATTCTTATGCCTTTGCATCCTCATAGCTTAGCTCCCACTTATGAGTGAGAACATACGATGTTTGGATTTCCATTCCTGAGTTACTTTACTTAGAATAATGGCCTCCAACTGCACGCAGGTGCTGTGAATGCCATTATTTTGTTTCTTTTTATGGCTGAGTAGTACTCCATGGTATATATATATATACCACATTTTCTTTACTCATTGATTGATGGGCATTTGGGCTGGTTCCATATTTTTGCAGTTGCAAATTATGCTGCTATAAACATGCATGTGCAAGTATCTTTTTCATATAATGACTTACTTTCCTAATGGGATCGCTGGATCAAATGGTAGATCTACCTTTAGTTCTTCAAGGAATCTCCACACTGTTTTCCATAGTGGTTGTACTAGTTCACATTCCCATCAGGGATTGCATTCTATCTGTGGATCAACCTGGGGAGTATTGCCGTGTTAACAGTATTAAGTCTTTGAACATCCATGTCTTATTAAATTTCCTTCAATGATGTTTGATTTTTCAGTATAAAAGTCTTGCACTTCTTTTGTTAAATTATTAAATACTTATGTTATCTTTTTGATGCTGTTGTAAGTGGAATTGTTTTTCTAATTTAATTTTAAGATTGTTCATTGCGAGTATATAGACATACAGATTGTTTTTGTGATTGATCTGTGTGCTGCAACATTGCTGAACAGATCCATGTATTTATTACTTAATCATTTTAAAGTTAGACCTTATGATTTTCTACATGCAAGGTCATTTCATCTGTAAGAAGAGAGAGTTTTGCTTCTTCCTTTTCAATCTGGATGCCTTTTTTCTTATCTGATTGTCCTGGCTAGAACATGTATGTTGAATAGAAGTGGCAAAAGCAGACATCCTTTCATTTTCCTGACATATTAATTTATGCTCATATTTTTCAGATACATGCAGTGAAACAAAATGTGTTACTAGTCTAAAAGGCTTGTATTTAATTTCTGCACTCCTGTTGTTACAAGCCATTTTCCTGTTACAATTTTATAACACTTTCACTTTCCATCAAGTGTTAAATTATACAGATGCTCCTTGACTTACAATGTTACATCCTGTTGAACCCATGTTAAGTTAAAAATGTATGTTGAAAATGCATTTCATACACTTAGCCTGCCGAATGTTATAGCTTAGCCTCACCTACCTTAAACTTGCTCAGGACACTTACATTAGCCCACAGTTGGGCAAAATAATCTAACACAAAGCCTATTCCATAATAAAGGTTGAACATCTCACAAGACTGTAGTCACATGAGAAACAGAATGGTTGCATATGTACTCAAAGCATGGTTTCTGGTGAACACATATTGTTTTTACATTATCGTAAAGTCCAAAAATTGTAAGTCTAAACAGGAGGTCAGGCCAGGTGCAGTAGCTCAATGCCTGTAATCCCAGCACTTTGGGAGGCCAAGGCAGGTGGATCACGAGGTCAGGAGTTCGAGACCAGCCAGACCAACATGGTGAAACCCCATCTATACTAAAAATACAAAAATTAGCTAGGCATGGTGGCGCACGCCTGTAATCCTAGCTACTCGAGAGGCTCAGGTAGGAGAATCGCTTGAACCTGGGAGGCAGAGGTTGCAGTGAGCCGAGATAGCGCTACTGCACTCCAGCCTGGGTGACAGAGTGAGACTCCATCTCAAAAAAAAAAAAAAAAAAAAAAAAAAACAGGAGGTCATCTACCCCTGTGTTTCTCAAAGGCTGGTCTGTGTTCTGCCTACCTGCATCAGGGTCGCAGCAGTGGCCATTAAAAATATAGATTCCTGGGAGCAGGTGCAGAAGGAAAAAAAATAGATTCCTGGGCTCCACCCCAGACCTACTGAATCTTTAGGCTTGGGGCCCAGGAATCTGCATTTCAGCAAGCATTCCCAAGAATCACTGATTGAATCCAGCACCATTTTCTACAGGTGAGACTGCTGTGGTCTAGAGACAACAGAACTTGTCCAGTATCTCACAAGTCATGAGAGGCAGAAGTCAGATATAGGCCTTCAGCTTCCCACCTCATCCTTTCCATTTGCAGTGACAAAGAGTGCAGTGCTAAATTGTATTTCATTTCCTTTGCCACCCTCAGCAGCTCATTTTCTTTGTATTTTTCAAAATTTTTCTTTAATTTGATTGAGACATTTTTAGGAAATCCTGACGTCTCCTGCCACAGCGAAAGAATTGCCTTAAATCAGTAGGATCTGGGGACAGTCCCTGCACACGTGACAAGTGACTCATTAACTTGTGAAGTGGCAAATAAATTGTCTTTTAAGCACATTAGTAATCATTTTTATTATGAAATATCATGGCCAGGCATAGTGGCTCTCGCCTGTAGTCCCAGAACTTTGGGAGGCTCCCAGAAACTTGGGAGGCAAGAGGATCTCTTGAGCCCAGGATTTAGAGACCAGCCTGGACAACATAGCGAGACCCCATCTCTACAAAAAACTTGAAAATTTCCTGGGTATGGTGACAGGTGCCGGGAGTACCAGCTACTTGGGAAGCTGAGGTGGGAGGATCACTTGAGCCCAGGAAGTTGAGGCTGCAGTAAGCTATAATTACACCACTGCATTCTAGCCCGGGTGATAGAACAAGACCCTGTCTCAAAAAAAAAAAAACAAAGGAAATAATCATAAATACACCAGAAATAGTACAGAAACAGCCAGGTACCCAGTGCTCAGAATTAACAATTTTTTATTTACATTTTTTCTTATTCATTTCTAATTTTTTTTTTTTTTTTTTAAATAAAACATGGCCAGGCACAGTCGCTCATGCCTGTAATCTTAGCACTTTGGGAGGCTGAGGCAGGTGGATCACCTGAGGTTAGGAGTTCGAGACCAGCCTGGCCAACATGGCAAAACCCTGCCTCTTGTTACAAACAATTTTTACAATTGTTTGTAAAAATACAAACAATTAGCTGGGCACAGTGGCAGGCGCCTGTAATCCCAGCTACTCATGAGGGAGGCTGAGACAGGAGAATGCTTGAACCCGGGAGGTGGAGATTACAGTGAGCTGAGATCGTGCCATTGTACTCCAGTCTGTGCAACAGAGTGAGACTGTGTCTCAAAAACAAAAAAGAAAGAGGAAAGAAAGAAAACATTATATGCCTGGTGCAGTGGCTCACGCCTGTAATCCCAGCACTTTGGGAGGCTGAGGCAGGTGGATCATTTGAGGTCAGGAGTTCGAGACCAGCTGGCCAACATGGTGAAACTCCGTCTCTACTAAAAATACAAAAATTAGCCGGGCGTGGTAGCTAACACCTGTAATCCCAGCTACTCGGGAGGCTGAGGCAGGAGAATCACTTGAATCTGGGAGGTGGAGGTTGCAGTGAGCCAAGATCATGCCATTGCACTCCAGCCTGGGCAACAGAGTGAGACTCTGTCTCAAAAAAAGAAAAAAAAGAAAACATTGTAGGTACAGTTGAAACCTTTTCCTTGTGGTTCTCCCTAGATGTATTCCTCTTCCCTCTCCTCAAAGGGGGTGCCACTTCCCTAAAATTCATGTGTACCCTTCCCATTCTTATTTTTCTACTTTGAACATATTTACGTCTCTTTATTTATTTATTTATTTGAGACAGGGTCTCGCTGTGTTGCCTAGGCTGGATGGAGTTCAGTGGTGTAATCATAGCTCACTGCAGCCTTGAACTCCTGGGCTCCAGGGATCCTCCTGCCTTGGCCTCCCAAGAAGCTGGGACCAGAGGCATGCACCACTATGCCTGGCTAATTTTTAAATTTTATTTAGAGATGGGGTCTCCCTATATAACCTAGAGTGATCTCAAACTCCTGGGCTTAAGCGATTCTCCTCCCTCGGCTTCACGGAGTGCTGGGATTACAGGCATAAGCCACCACGCCTGACCATGTCTTTAAATAACATAGTTTTGAGTGTTTTATAATTGATATCTGTGGTGTCATATTGTATTTATCACTTGGCAATTTTCACTCAACTTTATTTTTTCATCCCAATCCTTTTAACATGCAAGATCAGGGTAATTTTTTTAACTGCTATATTTCATTATGTGAATATACCACAACTTGGCTGTTTTTTTTTTTTCTCTCAGTGGACATTTAGGTTGGTCCCATTTTTCTTCCACAATTACAAACAATGCTGTAATTAATATCCTCATGTGAAATAATGTTAGTAGGGATATATCTACAAGTGGCCTCAACTGAACCATAAGGTGTACACATTTTCAGCCTAAATAGATATTGCCAAATTGCTTTCCAGAGTGGGAGCATCCACTTAATCCTACTGGCAGTGTATGAGAGTTCCCATTTTTCTACCTAAAGTTCCAAACAACTGCATGTGTTTCTGCTGGGTTACCTTGGGAAAAGAACTTTAGTGTACATCATCAGTTCTGAATGGTAACTTTACAACAGCATTTTTCTCCAACTCTCAACTTTTCCTTTATAGAAGGTGATGCTCTCTTACACAACCTTCATTCTCGCCCTCAAAGACTTATTGATCATATAAGGAATCTCCATGAGGAAGATGCCTTACTGAAGGAGGAAAGCAGCATCTATGATGATATTGTTTTTGTGGATGTTGTCGACACTTATCGTAATGTTCCTGCAAAATTATTGAACTTCTATAGATGGTAGGTTGTAAAAATGTTGGGTAGCTAGAACTTGTTTTATTGTTAGTTTTTTTTTTTTTGAGATGGGGTCTTACTAGGCTGTAAGGAAACCCCTTACTAGGGGTTTCCTAGGCTGGTCTTGAACTCCTGAGTGCAGGCAAACCTCCTGCCTTAGCCTCCTGAGTAGGTAAGATTACAGGCACATGACACTGTGCCTTATTGTTCTTTTGCTATCGAGACAATTTATCAACTTCAAACCACTGAGATTTCAGCAAATAAAAACAAACCTAAGGACACTGAGCACCTGGGATATGACCTATTGTATCCCAGTTCCTTGCGAAAACTGAGCTTCTAAGATGCTGCCACTTTATTTTGATAAAGATCCACAATGTGATATTAACCTATCAAAAACACGGCAAAAATTGGCTGGTGGCTTATGCCTGCCGGCAGCACTTTGGGAAGCCAAGGCAGGCAGATCACTTGAGATCTGGAGTCTGAGACCAGCCTGGCCAACATGGTGAAACCCTGTTTCTACTAAAAATACAAAAATTAGCCAAGTGTGGTGGCGAGCGCCTATAATGCCAGCCACTCAGGGGGGCTGAGGCATGAAAATCACTTGAACCCAGAAGGCGGAGGTTGCAGTGAGCCAAGATCACACCACTGCACTCCAGCCTGGGCAGCAGAGTGAGACTCCGTCTCAAAAAAAAAGAAAAAAAAAAAAAAAGTTGATTCATTTTGAGTCATTTCTGCTTGCCTCGGTTGTCTCAAGCCAGCATTAGATAAAAATCAGTGAGTTTGGGAATGGTCCATTTTTAGTTGTATTTATACCCACCTACCCAGATTCCCCAGTTATAGTCACTCACATTTAGGTTACTGATAGGCATTCTCTTCTACTGAATATCCACCTTATACTTCCAGTCTCTACTCCATCCGTTTAAAAACTACCTCCCTGATTCTAAAACTCTTATGTGGCTGGCTTACTAAAATTCCACAACTCCCAGAATCTATCATATTTATAATTTCCCAGACCCTCCAGTGTTTCTTGGAACTTACTTTTAATTCCTACTTTTATAACAAGAATAACAGCAACAATATATAATAATAGTAACATACATATTATATATCTATATAATCTTAACGTATAGTTATTAGAATTATTAGTTACTCTAGGATCTCAAAATTTTATGTTGAGTTTCCTGGTACTGTCTGTCCTGACCATGGAGCCAAAACTTTCAAACCTATCTCTGATTAGGCCAAACCTATAAAGGGTATTCACTTTTTATTTTTTTCACTTTTATTTTTAAAAACCTTCTTCTGTTCCTTGGTGTGAGGCCCAGGGTCTGTCTCTTTCTTTTCTTCTCTGTTGCCCTAGGCAGAGTGGGAAGTTACCAAGAACAGTACTTTACGGATACAGTTCCCTGGTCCTGAGGGGTAGATGGTCTAATTGGTTTATGGAAGGTAATGTTTCTTAGCTGGGGCAAATTATTTATTTATTTATTTATTTATTTATTTTTTAATAGAAATGAGGTCTCAAGCAGTCTTCCTGCCTTGGCCTCCCAAAGTGCTGGGATTATAGGCGTGAGCCACCACACCTGGCCTGCTGGGGCAAATTAATATAATTTGGGACTCATCCTGTGAGTAGAGAGCAGAGGTAAATGAGGGTTGGAAATCTGGGTGTGTCGAATACTAGGTTAAGTTTAGGCAGCTGTAGTAAGAAAAAGAACCTCCTTTTAATTTGGGGCCGCAAATGAGAGTTGCAATTGTAGGTGAGGCTGAGATGAGGAATGGGCATGGAAGTCCCGAGGGTGGGAAGTCAGGGCTAAGAGTCAGCCCCGGATACTCTTTAGAGCAAGATATTTCCTAGGCGTGGAAGTATCTTAGCCTCTCCCTTAGTCTCCGCTGCCGCTATTGTTGGCTGCCACCTTCTCTCCCTGGATCGCTGCAGTAACCTTCAACAGGACTCTGATCTGGGACCTGCGTCCCCATAGCTGGCATCACCCATCTCCACACTACAAATGAGTTTCATTATTTCTTCCTCATTATTTCAGTTATCAGTGACCTAAATATTCTTTATCATGAAATTTCTAATTAGCAAATATTATGTATGCCTTCTGCTGTTAATTGGAAATAAACTTTAGAAACATGGGGTGATGCTATTTGGTGTGGACCCATTATTGTTAAATTCACCATTCTTGGACCTAATGAAATTCTAAATTTATTTTATTGAGATTTCTGACATATGACTGGCACCCTAGCAAAACTGCATTTTTAAACAGATGTACAGGGACTGTCAATGTGAAATGAAGGAGTCAATTTTGTCTTTAGTCATGATTATATATTTTACGTCTAGATAATGAAGTCACTATCCTTTGCCTTCCAGAAGGTCATTTATAATGGTTTAATTGCTAGAAGTTGTTTCCAAGGGAAAATATGTTTCAATGTAATAAGTCAGGTTTTTTTAAGCCATAAAATATTTTGAGTGTAATATAAATAGCATCGGATGCATCTTGTACAATAGCGTTCTGTGTGAGAGGCCCAGATGTAACACCTAATTCATTATGCTGGGCCTTTGTTATTAAGAACACACGGGGCAAGGTTCAGGCGTTTAATAGATTTGGCAGCAGGAGTTGAATGATGCCTAAGAAGCATTTGTTTGAACATATGTTCCATTTAAGCCAGATATTTTCCTTCAATATGCTCTTTCTTTGCCTTTTAAAATCAGGTTAGTACTTCTCTGTGTTATGCCATTTAGTAAAGACCAAGTGATGGCCTTAGTTGATAGCAGCAAAATTTTGTTAGAGCAAATGTTCTCAACATTTGAGGAATAAGAAATTTAGATAATGACAGGTACAGTTTTGAATGAAAGTGTTAGTGACGCCACTGCATTGGTGTTTGTTTGTTTGGTCGCACTGACTTTCTTATCCCTTTTGTGTCAACAGGACTGTGGAAACAACGAGCTTCAATTTGTTGCTGAAGACAGATGATGACTGTTACATAGACCTCGAAGCTGTATTTAATAGGATTGTCCAAAAGAATCTGGATGGGCCTAATTTTTGGTGGGGAAAGTAAGTTAACCATTCTTAGCCCATTGGCATTCGTGTACCTGATCAAATGTAATTAATAAAGCATAAAATATCTTTTTTTTTTGAAAATGTGGTTGAGATATACAATTTCGTACTAGACTCCTGGGTTTATATATATTTCATTACTCTAGGTCAGTCATGCTGGCTCACATCTGTCATCCCAGAGTTTTGGGAAGGCTGAGGTGGGAGGATCCTTTGAGGCCAAGAGTTCAAAACTAGCCTGGGCAACGTTGCAAGACCCTGTCCCTACAAAAAATTAAAAAGGTGATGTGAGCCTGTAGCCCTTAGCTACTTGAGAGGCTGAGGCAGGGAGACTGCTTGAGCCCAGGAGTTGGAGGCTGCAGTGAGCTATGATTTTGCAACTGCACTCCAGCCTGGGCAACAGAGGGAGACCCTGTCTTAATAATAATAATAAATTTTATATTACTGTACAATTGGAGGAAATTATTTTTTAAATGAAAAGCCTCAGGCTAATGTAGTAAAGGAGGGAAAACAATATGGCTTTTATTCTTATGCCAAAGAAATAAATGGTATTCACATTAGAAGCTACTGTATATTTTGTTAGAGTACGTTTGTGACACGTCTCTGAAACCATTTTCTGTGCTTCCTCAGGAATACAATATGGATTAGTGATTTGGTTTTTTGTTTTCATATATACTAAAACACAGGGTGATCTTCTAGTGCTTTTCATTCAGAAACTCTACAAATGCAACTTTGAGAAAATTTAACATAACCAATCTTTTATCTAAAACAACACTGGATAAATGATAATTCCTTTCCTTAGATTAAGAAAATTTTTTTCTGGAAGGGCAGTGGCTCACGCCTGTAATCCCAGCACTTTGGGAGGCTGAGGAGGGTGGATCACCCAAAGTCAGGAGTTCAAGACCAGCCTGGACAACATGGCAAAACCCTGTCTCTACTAAAAATATAAAAAATTAGCTGGTCATGATGGTGTGCGCCTGTAATCCCAGCTACTCGGGAGGCTGAGGCAGGAGAATTGCTTGAACCCAGGAGGCAGAGGTTGCAGTGAGCCGAGATGGCACCACTACACTCCAGCCTGAGCAACAAGAGCAAAACTCCATCTCAAAAAAAAAGAAATTTTCTTATTTTCTTTCCTCACTTCTACAAGCTTATTCCTTTGTAGTGATGATAAAGGAGTCAAGTTTTAATAGTGGCAGGATATGTGTCAGACTAACACAAGAGGCCACATTATTTTTCATCTCAGTTTCAGACTGAATTGGGCAGTTGACCGAACCGGAAAGTGGCAGGAGTTGGAGTACCCGAGCCCCGCTTACCCTGCCTTTGCATGTGGGTCAGGATATGTGATCTCCAAGGACATCGTCAAGTGGCTGGCAAGCAACTCGGGGAGGTTAAAGACCTATCAGGTAATTAAGAATTTCTTAGCTTGGCGTGGTGGCTCTTGCCAGTAATCACAACACTTTGGGAGGCTAAGGCGGGTAGATCACTTGAGCCCAGGAATTCAAGACCAGCCTGGGTAACATAGCAAGACCCCATCTCTATAATAAAAAATAAAATAAAAACAAAAAATTAAGGATTTCCCACCTACGTATACACTCATCACACCAAGTTTCATCTCACTCGGCATCCCATCATGGAAAGCAGAACCCACTTACCTTGGGGAAAAGCACGTTATTCTCTGTATAGGAATCACCTCTCAAAGGTTAAGGATGCACCCCTACATCCCTCAAATCTTGCCTTTAAATTCTATTCCTAAATCTTTTTTGAGCCTACTTATTATGTTTTCAGCTAGTATTTACAGGTGTCATCCCTGGAGGCTGGGCACTGTGGCTCATGCCTGTAATTGTAGCACTTTCGGACGCCAAGGCAGGCAGATCACGTGAGGTTAGGAGTTCAAAACCAGCCTGGCCAACATGGCAAAACCCTATCTCTACTAAAAATACAAAAAATTAGCTGGGCGCACACCTATATTCCCAACTACTTGGGAGGCTGAGGAGGAGAATCATGTGAACCCGGAGGCGGAGTTTGCAGTGAGCTGAGATTGCGCCACTGCATGCCAGCCTGGGCGACAGAGGGACACTCTGTCTCAAAAAAAAAAAAAGTATAGTCCCTGGAGGAATAGAAAGATTTTTATTCCTAAGGAGGAAGCCCTAAGTGCTTCCTGGAAGCTTAAGGTACATGAGAAGGATGGGTCGTCTGCTCGCGGTTTCATCTTATTACCTTGTGGCAGGGGTGCTTCATATTAAAGACCACTAGCTTTGACTTCATGTGAACCCATTTTTGCTATTTCATATTAGAATAATAACAGAGCAAAAAAGTAGAAAGGTGGTTTATGATGGGAGTGGCTATGGTTTTGTCTTTACAAATAAAATAGCATTAAAATTTTTACATTTAAACTTTATGGGCCATGTATAGGGTGAAGATGTAAGCATGGGCATCTGGATGGCTGCCATAGGACCTAAAAGATACCAGGTAAGTCTTTGGGGATGGCCTCAGGGTTCTTAAGAGTTGAGGAGGTGGATTTCTATATACAGGTTGAGTGTTCTTTATCCAAAATGCCTGGGACCAGAAGTATTTAGGATTTCAGATTTTTTTGGATTTTAGAATAATTGCATTATACTTAGAAGTTGCACATTCCAAATCTGAAAATCTGAAATGCTTCAGTGAGCATTTCCTTTGAGTGTCATGTTGGCTCTCAAAAAGTTTTGGGCTGGGCATAGTGGCACATGCCTGTAATCCCAACACTTTGGGAGGCCAAGGTGGGTGTATCACTTGAGCCCAGGAGTTCAAGACCAGCCTGGGCAACATGGTGAAACCCCCCGTCTCTACAAAAACTACAAAAAAATTAGCTGGGCATGGCAGCGCCTGCCTGTGGTCCCAGCTACTCAGGAGGCTAAGGTAGGAGGATCAACTTGAGCCTGGGAGGTCGAGGGTGCAGGGAGCTGTGAATGCACCACTGCACTCCCACCTGGGCAACAGAGTGAGAGAGACCCTGTCTCAAAAAAAAAAAAAAAGTTTTGGATTTTGGAGCATTTTGGATTTCAAATTTTCAGATTTGGAATGCTCAACCTGTAATGTTTATCACACCATGGGCAGAAAGAATGAGGATCTTCTACCATAATAGTTATGCTGTTGCTTTAATTCACAATAATCCACTAGGTTATTTCTCATACAGTATTTTTCTGAGTTTAAAGCAAAAGGTTATAAATCAACGTTCCCCTGCCTACAAAAAAACTCAGTTTCCATAGATTTGATCAGAAATTATTTGCAGCTTTAAAACTTAACAACAGAAGGCCGAGGCGGGCAGATCATGAGGTCAGGAGATGGAGACCATCCTGGCTAACACGGTGAAACCCCATCTCTACTAAAAATACAAAAAAAATTAGCCAGGCATAGTGGCGGGCGCCTGTGGTCCCAGCTACTCAGAAGGCTGAGGCAGGAGAATGGCATGAACCCGGGGGGCAGAGCTTGCAGTGAGCCAAGATCACACCACTGTACTCCAGCCTGGGCGACAGAGCGAGACTCCGTCTCAAAAAAAAAAACTGAACGACAGAATCCACTGATTGAGTGTGGCAGTCTAAGGATCCTTCAACCCTTCTGACCGATAAAAATAAGACACTGCATGAAATATAAGACATCATTTAAAACACAGTATTGCTGAACCAGAAAAAAAAATGAATCTGCAGAGACCAAAATGGAAACTAGAGCCCTGGGAAGAAATCAAGCACAAAGCTGGCTTTAGCTTCAGAGATTTCTGTTCTGGATTCTTGCAGCTTCCACTTTGGCCATCGAAGGTGCAGGGGACAGAAGGCACATGCAGTGTCTGTCAGTTAGAAGCCCTGCATAGAGCTGGGGTCCCAGAGCAGCTCTCAGTCCAGGACAAGAAATCAACCCACATCTACATGGTCCACTTTGATAGTCTGATTCCTTTGCTGTACTTTGTCTCATCTTTGAATATAATTCTTTTTTGTATCTGGTAATTCTGGGATCTGTAGTCTTTGCTGGGTCTGATTTTGCAGTTTGTTGTTTCTACAACTGTTGTTCATGGCGCTTGTTTTCTGATGCGGTCTTTTTTTTTTTTTTTTTTTTGTGACCATCTCATGTCTTTGGAAACTGAGTCCTCTATTTAAAATGCATTCCTACAGAGAGGATTTACATATTTACATTTTTTTCTGCCATGCATCTAGGAATACTACCATCTATGAATACTTCAGATTTTTGGCTTGGAACTGTTGGGCTTACACAGACTGACTACCAGCCCCAGACCTACCTAAGTGCAAGCTGTGGGTAGGCACTGAGGGGAGAGAGACTCCTTTCCATCCCACTGAGGGGCAAGACTGAGACAGACAAGCTGAGTGTGTTTTGTTTTATCACCCCTGAGGCTGTGGCCCCTCAGAGATCCTAGCTCTGTGTCAGTCTCCCATTAGTCTCCTGACCCTGGGCTTGGCCTTCCAAACCCAAGGATCAGCAGCTGCCTTCAAGGCACAGGCTGACTCAGTGCTTTCTCCTACCCTGTTTCTTCTTTGATCACGGAGTTGAGCCATGCTTTATAAAGGTTTTTAATTTTATCCAACATTTTTGTGTTGTCAAAACATTGAATGAGTTTCTCTCTGTGTTCTGCTACATTGCTGGAAATAGAAACCAATTCACGTAGCTAGGAAATAGTCTAGTGGTTAAGAACTTGAGCTTGGGAGTCTTTAATCCCTCCTCTTCATTTACCAGCCCTGTGACCTGGAACAAGTTTTTTAACTCTTCGTTTGTTCCTCAATTGTTAAGAGGGAAATAGTTCCTACCTCACAGCATTACTGTGAGATTTAAGTGAGATATTTACAAAGCACTTGGTACAGTCCCTGCAATATTGTAAGCATTCCATCAGAATAATAGCTGTTACTAATACTGCCATAGACACACCTTTACTAGCAAACATGAAACTCACTTGTGGTTTCTAAAATCGTTCATTACGGAATGGCATTTGTTGACTAACTCTTCATCCACACACCGCCTTGTTTCTGTATTCCACAGCCACAGGACTGTGGGACCTGGTGCTTTCCCAAATCAGGAGGTGCCACCCCCAAACCTCACCAGTTGTTCCACACACGGAGTTATCCTTGAAATAATTTCAGCATCATTAGAATACATAAAAGCTGTCTACGTGCATACTTTCTGATGCTCTTAAAACAGTTTCACCACTCTCAGATCGGCTTTGGTTGTTTCTCAACAGGACAGTCTGTGGCTGTGTGAGAAGACCTGTGAGACAGGAATGCTGTCTTCTCCTCAGTATTCTCCGTGGGAACTGACGGAACTGTGGAAACTGAAGGAACGGTGCGGTGATCCTTGTCGATGTCAAGCAAGATAACAGGGACTTGAATTAGCAGAGTCTAAAATCAGGGCAGGCAAACGATAATCTGAGTGCAAGTCTGAGGAGTCCCAGGGTTTAGCAGTAGACTGTATGGTCTTTCAAGAGAGTTCCAGACTGGCACTTTCACCCAGAACCAATGCGGTGTTTCTTAATGTTTGCACAAATTTCCTTAAAAATCAACTTGTACTGTAGCATAAGAAAAGTTTTTATTTATCTATTGGAAGATTATCAGAAAAATACCAAGTTATTTTATAAAAGAAAAAATATTTCTAAATCCTGATGCATTGTGGCTAATTAGTAATTCACCATTACCTATAGTTTTTGGTTAAAACTTGGCCTAGTTCAGAAATCTGTAGTAGTAACTGAGAGTTTGAATTTCAACCTGGATTGCAGGATAGCTCTGTAGAGCTAATTAGGATAATTATCAGACAAAAAGGAACTCACAGGAATGCTGTGTGATCATGTGATCACATATTTGAGCAGTGGTCACTTATACCAAAGTTTGGGGTTTCTGGAAATAATGTCAGATTTTGTGGATCTCTGAAGTGGGCAACTTGAACTAACTTGAAGAGGAACCAATATGATTCTCAGTTCTGAACCTTGGTTTTAAAGAAGTTCATTTATATGGTAGACTAATACCCAAATTTTCTTTCTGCCATCTAACATAAATCCTGAAGGTCACAGTTTAGTACTCATAGTTTTTAAATGCTAAAGTTGTGTGAGTATGAATAAAAGCAAATACCTCTCAGGGTTTTAGTGCCATCGGGAAGGATATTTCTAAATTTTGTTGACATTTTGAAAGAATTAGTTTTGCTTTCCTCCTATCATTGCCTAATGTTTACCTAATATGAGTACATTTCAATCAAAGCTGGTTATCACAGAAGAAGATATACTCAGCTTAGGTATAATTGTAGGGAAAAGCATGTGATTAATTTAAGTACTCTTAGAAATAGTGCAACTGAGAAGACAGATAATAGCATATTGTTATACATAGTAGAGGATGTCTCCCCAAGTTTAAGGGACATTTCCCAAAATGACCAACCAAATCATTTCTAGTAACCCTTTAAAATAGTAGTTTCAATAGAGAATTCCATTAAAACTAGTCTTATGACAGATATTAACTGTGTTCAGATTTTATTAGGCTAGCTAGTTTCTTTCTATTTAATATTTAAATCTTATCATGAAATGCAGTGATGAGCTGTAAAAATAAATATGAAATAAGATCAGAAAATCATTAGTAGGTTCAAAGCCTTTATTATTGCTATTATGTATAAGCCTAGAAATGGTCACTTCCCAACAAAAAATACATCCCTTGTTATACTTAGGACAAGTTGTAAACCCCCTTTGTTTTGACAGTAGAATTGTTCCAGTGAATCATTTATTTCCGGTGAACCCCAGACACGATAAGCAGTGTGGTCTTTAAATTTTATTAGTTGGTTGTCACCATCGCACTAATAGACAATCTCCATTTTCCACAGAATAAAACTGTAATGACTTTAGGTCATTTTCCAGCTCGATTTCTCTGCCCGGCTTCTAAAATTAGAACGAAGGTGGGGAAGGATGTGATTAAGACAGATCCGATAAAGCATGCTACACATACTCTTCCCCCACCCCGTCCCCAGGCAGTAGCTTACCCTTAAAATCAAACAAACAGACCCATGGTCTCCATTTAGAATCAAACTGTTGCTATCTAGAGACAGTTTAATGTCATAATACGAGGACTAAGCTTGACTTTGACTTTGTATTTTGCTGGGCAACTTACTTTGGGACTTTCATAGGACAACAGAAGGTCTGACACAGGAACTTTGAGAAGACGTGACAGCAATCCCTTCACCTTTTGAATTGTCATGGAGCCTATCAAAAGACAAGAAAAGTCCATTCGTTCTCTCAAATGACAGTTACCTGTAAAACTAGCTCATGTGATGAGACCACAGTATCATTGCAATGATAGCTGTATCTGTCTTTTTTTTTTTTTTTTTTTTGAGACTGACTTACTTACTTACTTAAGTAAGTCTTGCTCTGTCGCCCAGGCTGGAGTGCAATGGTGTAATCTCGGCTCACTGCAACCTCCGCTTCCCGGGTTCAAACAATTCTCCTGCCTCAGCCTCCTGAGTAGCTGGTGCCCATCACCACACCCAGCTAACTTTTGTATTTTTAGTAGAGACGGGGTTTCACCATGTTGGCCAGGCTGGTCTTGAACTCCTGACCTCGTGATCCGCCCGCCCTGGCCCCCCAAAGTGCTGGGATTACAAGCATGAGCCCAGCGCCTGGCTGTATCTTTCATTTTACCCAAGTCACTTTACCCAAGTAAGTAATTAGGGGAAAGCCTGAGTCTTGTACCACCTGTTCATTTGGGGAACTGTGGGAAACGGAGCCAACGGACCTAAGTGCCCTTTGACAGTGAGTTTCATACCATTTCAGTAGTGTATTTCTTTCTTAATCTGAATAAACCAGAATGATACTCTCAGCACAGAAGAATAAAGGGAGCGAGTCATTAACGTTTTCTTTTTAAACCTTTATGATGACTTCCTTATGAATTACTGAACGAACACTGGAATGGGACTCAGGTATCCTGAGGACATCTCTCAACTCTGGCCTTAGTTCCCCCTCTGTAAAATTAGGGTGCCAACTAAATGATCTACAAGGTCCCTTCCAGCGCCGCCATTCTGTAATTACATCATGTGTAACTGTATTAAACATACACAAGTGACTGCCAGGCATGGGAATGTAACTTCCGAGTAAATGCTTTGGTTTGTTCAGAATACACTATGAACTTCTTTCCAAAGACGGGTTGTGGTAAATAGTGGATATTTTGATTATAAGAAATAGAGTTTCCTTGAAGCTTTAGCTGGAGATACAGCAATAGTGTGGTGTTCCTACAAATATCACAGTGTATTCAAACATATTTTTCTATCAAAAATCATTTTTGTAAAAGCTGTGTGTTTTTATCCAACTTGTGATAATAAATGTTCTTTATTTTAGAATAAAAACTGGCCTTTTTGTATGTATTGAATACAGTTAATAGAATTTATAATTTTAATTAACAATTTGCTCTTTCATGTGTGAATATGTGATAGTCTAGTCCTTTCAAAAGATTGAGACGGACTGGCTTTCATTGTTTGAAGGCTGGTGAGAGAAGGGGTTACCTGCTGCACACCAGTGGGGAGTGACATACTCCTAACACATGCCAGAAACAAAAAGTTTGGTCATAAAACAGTTCTAATAAGAAATCTGCCTGGCCTGCTCACACCTGTAACCCCAGCACTTTGGGAGGCAGAGGGATCAGAGCCCAGGAATTTGAGACCAGCCTGGGCAACATGAGGATACCCCATCTCTACAAAAAATAAAAAATTAGCCAAGCATAGCGATGTACGCCTCTAGTCCCAGCTACTTGGGAGGATCACTTGAGCCCAGGAGGTCAAGGCTACAGTGAGCCATGATCGCGCCACTGTACTCCATCCAGCCTGGGTAACAAAGTGAGAACCTGTCTCAAAAAAAAAAAAAAAACCTGCCTACTCATACCGGTTCTATAGAAGAAAGTAGCAATCTCTATGTAATAAATAGCATTACCATTTTTAATATAGTAACATGACTGTCTTAACATTCAGAAAATATGGAAATAGCTGATTATTTCTTTTTACCTGCCTATGACCAGTGTTAAAAATTTGAGAGGTATACCTCTAGGCCTTTTTTTTTCTGTGTTCATATAAGGATGTATAGGTTTTAAGCCAGGCGCAGTGGCTCACGCCTGTAATCCCAACACTTTGGGAGGCCGAGGCGGGCGGATCATCTGAGGTCAGGAGTTTGAGACCAGCCTGGCCAACATGGAGAAACCCCGTCTCTACTAAAAATACAAAAATTAGCCAGGCATGGTGGCGGGCACCTGTTATCCCAGCTACTTGGGAAGCTGAGGCCGGGAGAGTTGCTTGAACCCGGAAGGCAGAGTTTGCAGTGAGCCGAGATCATGCCACTGCACTCTAGCCTGGGTGACAGAATGAGACTCCGTCTCAAAAAAAAAAGGATGTATAGGTTTTATAATATATTGACGTACTACATTTGTATTTCTTTATGACATGATGGTATAGCTTTTCATGCCAATTCCATGCCATGTCCTCTAGCCATACACTGCCCAGTATGGCAGCCACATGTGGTACTGAGCACCTGGAAAGCGGCGAGTATGACTGAAGAACTCAATTTATTTTATTTTAATGAATTTAAATAGCCACATGTGGTTATTGCAGCCACACTGGACAGCGCAGCTCTAGACTGCTTCACTCTCCTCGGTGACACACGACAGTGCCTTGTGTGCTGTGTGGTTCCACCAGAGCTTATTCACCATTCCTCCGCTGGCAAGTACTTAGATTCTTACTATCTTTACCATTACAAATGCTGCAAGATACAATGCTTGGTCAGAGCATATGTGTATTTTTAACTTTTTATAGTAGTTCCCACATGACTTTAAAAAAGGGTATACTGCTTTTTCATGCCAGCCAGTATTATTTTAATTTTGCTAATCTAATGGATAAAAAAAAAGATATTGCAGTTTTGTTTTGTTTTGTTTTAATTTTAGACAGGGCCTCACTCTGTCACCCAGGCCAGATTGCAGTGGCTCAATCACAGCTCACTGCAGCCTCAACTTCCCAGGCTCAAGTGATCCTCCCACCTCAGCCGCCCAAGCAGCTGGGACTACAGGCATGCACCACCACACCCAGCTAATTTTTGTATTTATTTATTTTTGTAGAGACGGGGTTTCACCATGTTGCTCAGGCTGGTCTCGAACTCCTGGGCTCAAGCAATTTGCCCACCTTGGCCTCCCAAAGTGCTAGGATTACAGGTGTGAGCCACCATGCCTGGCTATTACTTTTCTGTTTAGAAGACATTTACCTATGTTAGTGGTTAAATATTCACAGCATGTGGCATAAGAATTAGTATTAAGAACCTTTGTATGAGTGAGTGAGTGAGTGCACATTTGAGAAACAGAAAAGCAAATAAAAAAGGGGAAAAAAAGGAACCCTTGTAATCTGCTGGCTTACTGCTGAATTTATAGAATATAGGACTCAGATTCTGAATAGTTTAAAGTAGTAATTCTTACATATAATTTCTATGGATAGTCGAATCTCTGCTAGCTACCCAAAGATTAATAAAAACAGCATGAATGCAGTGGGTGTTCCCAAAATGGCTAACTGAATCTCAGAAGACCTGGGATACCAGTCAGGTGTACAGTGTGGAAGTAGAGAAGGGTAAGGCGGCACTGTCACCCCCAGCCAAGGGCTGCATTCAGGCATATGCCCAGACGGCAGGCCTTGGCAGGTCTACCTCAGTGCCTTCCAGAGAAAGACTGAAAAGGAAAGCTTAACGAAACAGGTCTAATGACAATATTCTTGAGCAAATACTCTATAGTGGTAACATTCCCATGAATTGATTTGATGTATCTGCAAAGGCAAAAGGAAACACGCAAAGACATCGAAGGCCAAAAACATTCACAGAAAGTCCTGGCCTGCCAGGCATGGTGGCTCACACCTATAACCCCAGCACTTTGGGAGGTGATGACAGGAGAACTGCTTGAGCTCAGGAGTTTGAGGCCAGCCTTAGCAACATAGCGAGGCTTCATCTCTACTAAAAATCAAAAAAATTAGCGGGGTGTGGTGGTTCGTGCCTATAGTCCCAGCTACTCAGGAGGCTGAGGTAGGAGGATCACTTGAGCCCGGGATCAAGGTGATGGAGCCTGCAGTGAGCTGAGATGGCACCACTGCACTCCAGCGTGAGTGACAGCCAGACCCCATCTGAAAAAAATATATCAAAAATAAAACAGTCCTGGCCCTCTTTGACTAGTCTGTCTCCACCAGGGCCTTTACTGTCTGTCTAAGTTTGAAAACAGAATAATGAAGGGGGAAATCACTAATTCTAACCCATTATATAGCAGTAGCCAAATTACATATTACAGGAGTAGAAACTGGATTGTGAATAAATAAAAATGGAGACGTTGTGGTAAATTAAATGGATGGTTATCAATCAGAAAGGTACTTCTTTGAACACAACTAAGGCCTTCTATAAGCAATACCATGATAAGCTTGCTTTATCTGATAGAAACTAATTTAAAAATCAATGTGAATTTACTGCACTGATGGGCAAAGAAACCCAGTGTACTAGAGTCATTAAGCTGATGTGTATTTCATTTATTTAAATCCTCACTGCTCTAAATTATTTATATTTTAGCATTTAGCTATGAATCAAGTTTAATCTTGAGAATTCACAGTATCATGGCATACTCAAAAATAGACTATAATTTCATTTTTCTTTTGAGTGAAAGTTTAAGGTAAGTTATGTTGATCTACTTTATTGACACAAGCATATTTATTTTCCAAATAAAAGTAATTCAGTTCCAGTACCACAATTTTTTTAAGTTCTAAGGTAGCTTTCTCAAAGAAAACCATTTCAGGGTGTCCATTAAAAGAGCATCTGCGAATTGTTTTTGCAGGGACTCCTAATCAGTCAGGAGAAGTAGAATGTAAGCAAAGTCACAAACCTCCCGTAAGAATTTGGTTCACCAGGACACAGCTCCTCTCTTATGAAGGGATGAGAAGCAGACCCCAAACCCAGTGTCACAGTCTCCCTGGAAACAGCAGCAGGCTTGGGGAATGCTTCCAAAAGGCTATGCCATTCAAGGTCTCAGGTTTTTTGGTTAAAAATACAACTTAGGCCAACTGCAGTGGCTCATGCCTGTAATTAATTCCAACACTGGGAGGCTGAGGCAGGAGGATGGCTTTGAGCTCAGGAATTCGAGACCAGCCTGGGCAACATGGCGAAAACCCATCTCTACAAAAAATACAAAAATTAGCTGGGCGTTGGTGGCTCGCACGTGTAGTCCCAGCTACGTGGAGGCTGAGGCTGGAGAATTGCTTGGGCCCAGGAAGCAGAGGCTGCCGTGAGCTGAGTTGGTGCCACTGCATTCCAACCTGGGTGACAGAGTGAGGCCCTGTCTCAAAAAAAATTGTGTGTGTGTGTGTATATATATATGTGTGTGTGTGTGTGTGTGTAATTATATGCAGGGGCTTCCAATTTTAACAGAACTGCTTTCAGCTGATAAAGTTAGGGGAGACCTGAACTTTTGGGGGCATGGGGGAGTGATATTAGCATGATTGATTGTATTTTAGAATATAAAAGACTAATGAAAACCTGTAAGTTCTGAGGTCCACACTTTGAGACATGAGTTAAAGGTTTTAATTTTAGCTGACTCATACCTAGGCCGATGATTCAGAGTTTAAGGAAAAGACAGGCTGGTTCTTCTTACCCGGCAGTTGTTTCTCCAGGACTTTCTGATCAAGTTGATGAGGGTATTTTATCTTCAGTGCTTTAAGAGAAACAAAGAAAAAGACTAATTGATATCTACTATTATATGGATTTAAATTATCCACACACATCAACAGATGGCCAAATGATAGAGGTATTCAGTGCAAATTGGCAGGTCTAATCAATGTTTAAAATTCTTTCTATTAATCCTTCCATGGATTGCTAACAACAACAGAAATAGCTGGACAATACTTTCCCTTTTCCCCACTTAGTACTTCTTTCCTTACAGCTTGGCTAGGTTTTCAAGTCATAAATTCACAAATCACAATTTGGTTCACAACTCCAATACCTCCCACATTTATAACACTATTAAATGAGTTTAAAACATAGGAGTTACAAAAATGTATAAGAATTTAAACATGTTTTAAAGAATTCATTTCTTTGACAGGGCGCGGTAGCTCATGCCGCTAATCCTAGCACTTTGGGAGGCCGAGGCGGGTGGATCTCCTGAGGTCAGGAGTTTGAGACCAGCCTGGCCAACATGGTGAAACCCCATCTCTACTAAAAATACAAAATTAACTGGGTGTGGTGGCGCATGCCTGTAATCCCAGCTACTCGGGAGGCTAAGGCACGAAAATCGCTTGAACCCGGGAGGCGGAGGTTGCGGTGAGCCAAGATCGTGCCACTGCACTCCAGTCTGGGCAACAAGAGCAAAACTCCGTCTCGATTAAAAAAAATTAGCCGGGCATGGTTGTGTATGCCTGTAGTCCCAGCTACTCCAGAGGCTGAGGCAGGAGAATCGCTTAGAACCTGGGAGGCGGAGGTTGCAATGAGCTGAGATCACACCACTGCACTCCAGCCTGGGAGACAGAGGGAGACTCTGTCTCAAAAAAAAAAAAAAAAATTTTCATTTAAAACTCAAGGCATTTACTTAGGTACTTAAGAGGTACACACTTAAGAGAAACACACTAACTGTTTCAGCACCTAAGCACTCAAATACAAATAAACTATTTGAATCTGAGATTCTTACTTAGTAGCTGGTTTTTCAGCATAAGTGGTTGCTGTGTTTTGAGTTCCCAATCTTCAGGTGCACCATATTCTGTTTAAGAAAGCAAAAGAGATGAATGATAAACCAAAGGCCACTATAAGTAAAAACAAAACAAACAAACAAACAAAGGATAGGTAAGCGTCCAGAGAGCCTGTGCCTTTCCCAGGACACATGGAGCTGCCTTTATTCAGTGTGATTTTTAGGAGTGATGGACAACGACCACTTCCAAGGGCAGAATCTTCTATCTACCCAGAGCTGCAGACTCTGTAGCTTATCTAGCTCATTGTTAATGACCAGTGAAACTCAACAAAAGACAACAAATGAAAAGCAACATGTTTACATGTGTATTACATCATTGTTCCTTAGGTGTCCTGACTCAAAACTAGCAAGAGAAGACTGCCTTCAAATACTTCAAATGTTTTCCCCGAGTGTCACCTTTGGTAACAGTTCTCTTTCTGCGCTGACAGAAACCTGGTGCCACCTGAGACACGATCCACAGGACACTTCTCACGTTTCCACCAGACCGTGCAGTGCCAGGCTGGGTGCTCAGTACCATACTGCAAACCAGTTCCTAGGCCTGGACCACAGCCTCCACAGGAGAGGAGGAAAGCAGTACTTTTTTCCTGCTCTAGGCCAAACAGTGACAACATTTCTCTAAATCCCCCCATCTATCTGTGCTTTTGTCTTCTAACATTCTTAGCAGTGAAATACTCAACAATACCTGCCCGGCTGCTTCACATCTTCCCTTGCCCACCCCCGAGTGATTTAGAATTCACCGAGCGTGGCCAGGAGATTGGGCTGGCTAATGGAGTCATTTGAAAGTGATTCCTCTAGGCTGCTTTTCTTCCTTAAACATACTGTTCAAGCCTGAAGCGTTTATGCAGCGAGCTTCTTGCATTAAGAAATATAAAAAAGGAAATAACATAAAAGCGAAATGTGGAGTAATAATGTCATCAAAACAAAATGGAAAGTACATCAGGGACAAAGACTCATGAATTCTTAGCTTCAAAGCCTGAAGAACCAGGCTGGAGGATTTAAGGAACCACCGTGCATGCCAAGTGCCAGCCTTGGTAGCGAGCCCTCGGGACGAGAGCTTACTGCAGAACTACACTCATACGAACTTTCCTATTCACTAGAATTACCTGGGGGGCTTTAAAAAAATACAGATGCCGGCTGGGCGCGGTGGCTCTCGCCTGTAATCCCAGCACTTTGGGAGGCTGAGGCGGGCGAATCACCTGAGTTCAGGAGTTTGAGACCAGCCTGGCCAACCTGGTGAAACCCCATCTCTACTAAAAATACAAAAAATTAGCCGGGCATGGTGGCAGACGCCTGTAATCCCAGCTTCTCAGGAGGCTGAAGCAGGAGAATCACTTGAACCCAGGAGGTAGAGGTTGCAGTGAGCCGAGATCGCGCCATTGGACTCCAGTCTGGGCAACAAGAGCGAAACACCATCTCAAAAAAATATATATATATACGGATGCCTCAGACATAAACTGGAGTGCTTCCTACCCTTCCTACAGTGGAGCATGGTGCGCCACCTGAAACCTGGTGGACATATGCAAGAGAAGAACCTACATTTAAGAAGTGCTTTCCCTGGCTGGGCGCGGTGGCTCACGCCTGTAATCCCAGCACTCTGGGAGGCCAAGGTGGGTGGATCACAAGGTCAGGAGATCGAGACCATCCTGGCTAACACGGTGAAACCCCGTCCCTACTAAAAATACAAAAAATTAGCCGGGTGTGGTGGTGGGCGCCTGTAGTCCCAGCCACTCGGGAGGCTGAGGCAGGAGAATGGCGTGAACCCGGGAGGCGGAGCTTGCAGTGAGCGGAGATCGCGGCACTGCACTCCAGCCTGGGCGACAGAGCGAGGCTCCGTCTCAAAAAATAAATATACAAAAATTAGCCAGGCATGGTGGTGTGCGCCTGTAGTCCCAGCTACTCTGGAAGCTGAGGGAGGAGAATCACTTGAACCCAGGAGGTGGAGGTTGCAATGAGCTGAGATTGTGCCACTGCACTCCAGCCTGGGTGACAGAGCAAGACTCTGTCTCAAAAGAAAAAAAAAGAAAAAGAAATGCTTTCCTGCTACGCACGGTGGCTCACACCTATAATCTCAGCACTTTGACAGGCCGAGGCGGGTGGATCACTTGAGGTCAGGAGTTCAAGACCAGCCTGGCCAATATGGTGAAACCCCGTCTCTACTAAAAATACAAAAATTAGTCGGGCGTGGTGGCGGGCGCCTCTAATCCCAGCTACTCAGGAGGCTAAGGCAGGAGAATAAATTGAACCCGGGAGGCAGGGGTTACAGTGAGCTGAGATCACTCCAGCCTGGGCCTGGGCGACAGAGCAAGACTCCATCTCTCTTTTTTTGTTTTGAGACGGAGTCTCGTTCTGTCGCCCAGGCTGGAGTACAGTGGTGTGATCTCGGCTCACTGCAAGCTCCGCCCCCCGGGTTCACACCATTCTCCTGCCTCAGCCTCCTGAGTAGCTGGGACTACAGGTGCCCGCCACCACGCCCGGCTCATTTTTTTTTTTGTATTTTTAGTAGGGACGGGGTTTCACCGTGTTAGCTAGGATGGTCTCGATCTCCTGACCTCGTGATCCACCCGCCTCAGCCTCCCAAAATGCTGGGATTACAGGCCTGAGCCACCGCGCCCGGCCAACTCCATCTCTTAAAAATAAAAGAATTGCTTTCCCTTCCCCAAATGCAAACCTCTCCATTTCAAGAACATAAACAGTCTCCCAGGTTCCTCCTGCTGAAAGATACTGCTCTTGCCCTGCCGCCCTCGCCCCAGGAAAGTGCCTATAGTCCATTCAGATGAATACAAGAAGCCCAGGAAAGGAAGAAGGGCAAAAGCAACACTGAGAACCTCTTTTGATACCCAAGAAAAAACTTTGTTCCAGCTGGAAATCCACCACCTGAAGGCCACCAGTGTATACGCACGTACTCAGGCAGAGGAACTGGTATCTGGGATGGGCTGTGAGGAATTCTTCGCTGAGTCTGTTTTTTTCCGGATCCTTATGTCCACCAGCCTGTTTCCACTCATTTCCAAAAGCTTTTCGGTAGTCAAGCTCAGCTCTCCGCCTCTCCTCGGGGAGAATCTATGTTCATGTGACATAAAAACAAGCCTATTACAAAGCTTTTTTCTAACATGTCCTTTGCGTTTTGCACCTTGTCCTTCCTCCATAGCACATGCAGAAAATAATCAAATTGAGAGGGACAAGATCTAGTTTTCACCCTTCTTTTTAACATTGACAGAACTCAGGGGTTTATTAGAAAAGAAAAAAGAATTTCAGTTTTACACTCTTTTTTTTTTTAATTTGAGATGGAGTCTCGCTGTGTCGCCCAGGCTAGAGTGCAGTGGCATGATCTCAGCTCACTGCAACCTCCACCTCCCAGATTCAAGTGATTCTCCTGCCTCAGCCTCTGGAATAGCTGGGATTACAGGTGCATGCCACAATGCCTGGCTAATTTTTTTGTATTTTTAGTAGAGACGGGGTTTCGCCGTGTTAGCCAGGATGGTCTCGATCTCCTGACCTCATGATCTGCCAACCTCGGCCTCCCAAAGTGCTGGGATTACAGGTGTCAGCCACCGTGCCTGGCCTACACTTTTAATTCATGCGAGTACTTGCGCATAGGCCAGTTTCAGGACTACACCAGGTACCCTGGGTCGCCTCCCCCAGGTCTGCCTGGAGGCGCCTGCTCTGGTGGAGCTGACTGACTCCCAGTGAATGCACAAAAGTGCTGGCAAGGACAAGGCATGGACTTCCCACTTTTATGGGGAAGAGTGGCTGAGAAGGGGAGGAGAAAGCAGCTCTGTGGTCTGTGTTCTTTCTGCCTACATTCCCTGAAAACATGGAGACGGTGCCTGGTGTGCCTCAAATGATACTGCACTGATCTAAGTGGAGGACTCTCTCCTGAGGAGCTGGAAAAGAACCACTATTATGAAACTGCACAAGGCTAATCTTTACCATTCCAAGGAAAGCTACATCTCACCCCCTTTACAATATTCAAAAATAATTTTTTTACTTTTTTTTTTTTTTTTAAATTAAGACAGGGTCTCACTCCATTGCCCAGGCTGGAGTGCAGTGGCATGTTCATGGCTCACTGCAGCCTTGGCCTCCCGGGCTCAGGTGATTCTCCCACTTCAGCCTCCTGAGTAGCTGGGACTACAAGCACTTACAGGCGCGTGCCACCATGCAGCTAATTTTTGTATTTTTTGTAGAGATGGGGTTTCACAAGATTGCCCAGGCTGGTCTCAAACTCCTGGACTGCAGCGATCAGCCTGCCCCAGCCTCCCAAAGTGCTGGGATTACAGGTGTGAGCCACGGCGCCTGGCCTAAAATCATTTATTTTCTAGTCTAAAAAATATCTAGTCATGACGCCAGTGCTCACCTCACATTTGTTCAGCGTCTTCAGCTGGCCAATGCTGGCGATAATGAGTAGTCGCGCCGTCTCTGCTTCTTTGTCCTCTTTGGTCAGGGGGTTTCTTAGGCAGGACAAAGCCCGTAGACTTGGTAACTTCTCTAGCTCATTGAAAAACGACCACTGAAACACAGCAAAAGGAAATAAATGAAAAGCGGTACGTTCATGCCACTTTTGCAGAAGTTTGAACCAGCAACAGGAAAGCATGTCCCTAGTTCTAATCTGAGGCAGGGAATTTCATCATGCACTAAGCAATCCCCTCTAGAAAGACCACATACTTTTACTGTTGTTTTTTGTTTTGTTTTGTTTTGTTTTTTGAGATGGAGTTTCGCTCGTTTCCCAGGCTGGAGAGCAACGGCGCGATCTCGGCTCATCACAACCTCCGCCTCCTGAGTTCAGGCGATTCTCCTGCCTCAGCCTCCCGAGTAGCTGGGATTACAGGCATGCGCCACCACGCCCGGTTAATTTTGCGATTTTTTTTTTTTTTTAGTAGAGATGGGGTTTCACCATGTTGGTCAGGCTGGTCTCGAACTCCCGACCTCAGGTGATCCGCCCGCCTCGACCTCCCAAAGTGCTGGGATTACAGGCTTGAGCCACCACACCCGGCCCCTTTTACTCTATTAATGTGCCATTTAAGTGTGAAGTCCACTTAAGTGTGAAGTGAACTAATTTCTTTCTTAATATTTTTGGCTTCTTATGAGGAGTTTCACTCTGAGGAGGTATTTCTCTTTCGATTTAAATTTCTTTTTACTTTTTTGGTAGAAGGAACCTCCAAACTCTGCCATGAGAGTGGAAAGAGGCAACAGTGTGCTGGGCATACTCCGAGCAGCTCTTACTTGTGATATCTGATTGTCGTTTACTACCAGGTACTTCAAGGATGGGAACATGGACGTTTTGCACCCTATAAAAAGAGGAATGAAGTTACACAGTAGAAGTGAAAGTAGCTGAAGTATAGTGTGGGGGGGCAGTGGGGAACTTTACTAATCTTATATACCAATTCCAGCATCCGGAAAATGTAGAGAAGAAATTCCAGTGTCAGAGAGGATTAATTGTTCTAACCTGAAATTCAAAATGTACAATTTGATTACACAGAACAATGTAAAATGCTATGGGGTATCAACCAGACTCGGTTTGTAAATTTTTTTCCTACACCCTGGGTTTTTAATCCCATGTAAAATACTTAGAAACCATAAAGTCCAACTTAGGACATGCAAAGTGAACTCTTTATCCTGTATTCTAATGACTCCATAGTCACCTAATGGTTCTTGAGTACCTACTGCTATGTCAGGTGCTAAATGCGTCTCAGAGGAAAGAGACACGGTCTACTGCCCGGAGTTTAATGAATGAAGACTTTCCGCATTATCACCAGGGTCAAATTATTCATTCTTCAAATTATCTGGTACAGACATAGTCCACATTATACAGGGTTCACAAGTAAATTTTCTAAATGAATTCAAATGAAAATTTCCCAAAGGGAATTACTCAATTTAGAAATTCCATCATTGTTACCACGTTTCTATTGAGAAAGCATACATAGCATATGAAAACTGCTTCACTAAGAATTGACTGAACACTATTGTATCAGGCATTTAGGGGCAAATTACCTGGGCAGGTGGGCTATCAGATACAGCTGATTTTCATCAATTAATTGATTAGAGGAAAGATCTAATAACTTGACTGTCTGGAGAACATCTGTTGGCCTGTATGGAAAATAAAATTTTTTCACCGTGAATTTATCTCTTAATTGTTTTCAAAGATACAGCCTTAAAATCCCTGCATTTGGTGCGATGGAGGGCTGGGGATAAGAAGCAAGTAAATATGACTGTAAAGGGGCAACCTGAGTGGTCCCTGTGGTGATGCACATATTCCTGCCGGTATCAGTGTCACACCTAGCCTGTGATCCTATATCATAGTTTTGCAACTTGTTACCAATGGGGGAACCTGGGTCATGGGTACAAGTGATCTCTGTGTATCATTTCTTATAAAACTTCATGTGAATATATGATTATCTCAAAATAAAAAAATTTAATTTAAAAAACCTGCAGGCCAGGCACGGTGGCTCACACCTGTAATCCCAGCACTTCGGGAGGCCGAGGCGGGTGGATCATCTGAGGTCAGGAGTTCAAGACCAGCCGGGCCAACATGGTGAAACCCCGTCTCTACTAAAAATACAAAAATTAGCCAGGCATGGTGGCACGTGCCTGTAGTCCCAGCTACATGGGAGGCTGAGGCAGGAGAATCACTTGAACCAGGGAGGTGGAGGTTGCAGTGAGCCGAGATGGTGCCATTGCACTCTAGCCTGGGTGACAAGAATGAAACTCTATCTCAAAAAAAAAACAAAACAAAAAACCTGCATTTGCCTACATAATGAAACCCTTCTGTAAACGAAAATCTTTAAGATTCTGAATCCTTTAATTCAGAATCTGTTGTAAATTTTCCCACAGTTAGGTTAATTTTACATAGTAATTTAATATTATTAATTTAAAAAGGAGATGAGGCAACAATATATTTCAGAGAACAAAGTTTTACATGTACTTTGGTACAATGACCTTAAACAGATGATGCTAATGAAAAATACATTATTTAATCCTTATAGCATATCCTACAGAACTTCCATTTAGAAACAGCAAGTTGGCCAGGCACAGTGGCTCACAAGGTCAGGAGTTCGAGACCAGCCTGGCCAAGATGGTGAAACCCCGTAAAAGATGGTGAAACCCCGTCTCTACTAAAAATAAAGAAAATTAGCCGGGCATGGTGGCAGGCACCTATAATCCCAGCTACTCGGGAGGCTGAGGCAGAAGAATCGCTTGAACTCAGGAGGCGGAGGTTACAGTGAGCCAAGATCGCCACTGCACTCCAGCCTGGGCGACAGAGTGAGACTCTGTCTCAAAAAAAGAAAAAGAAAAAAAAGAAACAGCAAGTTAATACACTGATGCAAAACTAATATAACTCATGTCTTCACAAATATTTAATTCTGATGAGTTTCCTTTGATTAGAACCAATTAGTGAAATTCTAATTTGTGAAGGCAATGAATAATAAGCATTTTTCCTAATTCTTGTTTGCAAATCCTTCTAAAAATTAAGGTTAGATATAATTGAGACCATTTATTTACTCAGAATGATGATTAAATGGGGATAGATGCATTTAAGTAAGTGCTAGTTACCTTTCGGAAATGAAAATGTTGTTAGACTCAAGGTAGAGTTCCTCCAGGCCTGGGCACCCCGCGACACACCGCAGCACCTGGAAGAGAAACTCGGTTCAGGCTCAGGCGGCCTCTGCTGGCTGTTTCTTCCCGGGTGTTCATAGGAACCACCACAAGAATTCAGCTCAGTTACTGTTTCAGCAAACAAGTGCCTCACGGACAGTTCATAAGACTGTTTCAGGCCTGGAATAGTGGTGGGGGGTGATAAATAAAATGTTAAGGGGGTGCATTTTAATGCTGTGGGAGCACACACTGTGGGCACTTTGAGGCCTTGGAGGTACGTGTCAATGCATGGTTTAGGTAAAGCAGCTACGAGGTGGAACAGGAGATACTAACTGCACATATTATTATTTGATAGAATTTGCTTAACCAAAATAAGTAAATTGATGTTACACACCTTTCCTCAATTCTAAATGCCAATCTGGGTTTGTAAAGGATATGCTAATTTTTCATATCCTTTCATAAATTTCTCAACAATTATTTCTTCTTTCATTATTTTTTTAATTATACATTTTTTAAAGTTTTCATTATATATTTATGACAAATATTCTACATCCATGATTCTCTCCAATCAAAAGTTCTTTGAGATCGGGCACAGTGAGTTCATGCCTGTAATCCCAGCACTTTGGGAGGCCAAGGCAGGTGGATCACTTGAGGTCAGGAGTTGGAGACCAGCCTGGCCAACATGATGAAACCCATTACCACTAAAAATACAAAAATGGCCGGGTATGGTTGCACACGCCTGTAATCCCAGCACTTTGGGAGGCTGAGGCAGACAGAATGCTTGAGGTCGGGAGTTTGAGAACAGCCTGGCCAACGTGGTGAAAACCCATCTCTACTAAAAATACAAAAAATTAGCCAGGCGTGGTAGTGCACGTCTGTAATCCCAGCTACTTGGGAGGCTGACGCAGGAGAATCATTTTGGCCCAGGAGGCAGAGGTTGCAGTGAGCCAATATCACACCACTGCACTCCAGCCTAGGCAACAGAGCAAGACTCCATCTCAAAAACCAAATAGTTGAGATGACGCCCTTGGCCATGGCCAATTAGAGAATGGAATCATCTGACTCACCCATCCTGCAAACAGTCCTGCAGATAGCACAGGTTTTAAACTGGCTGTTAAACCTGCCCGTGACCTCACTGGCCTTGGCCACGTTCATCCGCATGGATGTGTGGTCCTTGGCACTGATGATGCAGTTGCTGGTGGAGCATTTCTGCAGCACGCACAGATCCACGAACTTGCTGGCGTCTTTCTGCATGTCGAGACCGTGCCTGCTGCCACCACACTGCGCATGAGCCTAATTTTTTTTTTTTACAAAAAAAAAAATTACAAAAAATTATTATATATTATATAATTATGTATAATAATATATAATATATATATAGCATCTACAGGATCTCTCTATGTTGCCTAGGTGGGTCTTGAACTCCTGGCCTCAAGTGATTCTCCTGCCTGGGCCTCTCAAAGTGCTGGCTGGAATTATAGGCGAGAGCCACCATGACCAGCCTCACCAACTATTTCTAAATTTTCTCACTGGAACTTTACTGCCATCTCCACCACTTCAATTTCTGTGTGCCCTTCCTAGTTTATTTGGAGGGTGAGATGCGTCTTGCTCTGTCACCCAGGCTGGAGTGCAAAGGTGCAATCCTAGCTCACTGCAGCCTCAAACTCCTGGGCTCAAGTGATCCTCCCACCTCAGCCTCCCAAAGCGCTGGGATTGCAGGTGTGAGCCCCAGTGCCAGTGTCTGGCCCCTTCTTGTCTTCCAGCTACATCTACACCTTGAGAGGGAGTAAGCGCCTCACAGAGGAGGGGCCCTAGGAAAGAGGCTCCATGGCCACGGGCATATTAAGGGCACAAGGGGCCCACCTGTCTCTCACTGAGTGGCCTCTGTGGCACTTCCTGGGTGAACATGGCTGGGAATGTATTTCTACACCCTTGGTTTGAAAGTGGAATGCCCAAGCTGGGCACAGTGGCTCACGCCTGTAATCCCAGCATTTTGGGAGGCTGAGACAGGCAGATCATTTGAGGTCAGGAGTTCAAGACCATCCTGGCCAACATGGTGAAACCCTGTCCCTACTAAAAATACAAAAATAAGCTGGGCATGGTGGCAAGCGCCTGTAATCCCAGCTACTTTGGAGGCTGAGGCTGGAGAATTGCTTGAACCCAGGAGACGGAGGTTGCAGTGAGCCGAGATCATGCCACTGCACTCCAACTTGGGCAACAGAGCGAGACTCTGTCTCAAGAAAAATAAATAAATAAAAATGAAAGTGGGCTGGGCACGGTGGCTCACGCCTGTAATCCCAGGACTTTAGCAGGCCGAGGTGGGTGGATCACCTGAAGTCAGGAGTTCGAGACCAGCCTGACCAACATGGAGAAACTCTGTCTCTACTAAAGATACAAAATTAGCTGGGCATGGTGGTACATGCCTGTAATCCCAGCTACCTGAGAGGCTGACGCGGAAGAATCACTTGAACCTGGGAGGCGGAGGTTGCAGTGAGCCGAGATTGCGCCACTGCACTCCACCTTGGGCAACAGAGTGAGACTCTGTCTCAAGAAAAATAAATAAATAAAAATGAAAGTGGGCTGGGCACGGTGGCTTACACCTCTAATCCCAGCACTTTGGGAGGCCGAGGCGGGCAAATCACTTGAGGTCAGGAGTTCGAGACCAGCCTGACCAACATGGAGAAACCATGTCTCTACTAAAAATGCAAAATTAGCTGGGTGTGATGGCACATGCCTGTAATCCCAGCTACTTGGGAGGCTGAGGTGGGAGAATCGCTTGAACCTGGGAGGCAAAGGTTGCAGTGAGCCAAGGTTGCACCATTGCACTCTAGCCTGGGCAACAAGAGTAAAACTCCGTCTCAAAAAAAAAAAAAAAGAAAGTGGAATGCTCTGGGTGTGTGAAGTCAGTACACCTCAGACAGGAAATAGTACTGCCAGATATAAGTCCCAAATGCTGCTGTGCCAAGGACCCACAAGTCTACTTTTGAGCCCGGCTGTATAAAATGAACAGTGGATTCCAAGAGCCGAACTTCTAACAAGAAAAGTATGTGAGAACCTTTCTGCTGCTTGGCTTCTGTTCTAAAAAAAACTAACAGGAAAACTCAGGAAGCTAGTCAATAGCCAACACTACGGCTTTTTGAAGCTCAGCACATACTGGTTCATACCATAACGGAGCGCCACTGTTTATAAAGGCACCAGAACAAGTCAAAATGAGCTGAGATAGGACATGGATTTCCAGATGCAAAACTCAACTATGATGCTCTTTTAACTCGTTTTTATAAGGCACTTTAATGAATCTTGTTATCTATTAATAGATACTGGGATGATTTAAATGAAGCCACAGTTGTACTATTAAACTGTACTAACAATTCTCTATTAAACCAAACATTTTTAATTGCTTATTAATGTGTAATAAAACAAAGAAATATGATTACCTCAGCCCACGTTATTCCTGTTTGATTGAGGACTAAAACCTTCAGTACAGAAAGCGTTCCAGTTAATACTGAACCGGAGGGAAATTTTAGTTTATTTTCACTGTGTAGAAAAAAAAGATACAATGTACTTATTTCTATACAGTAAACCCAACTGAAATAGTTGTTGAAAGCAACAATCTGGGTTTTAATCTAAGGGGTTTGATTTGTTTCAATCTTAAAATGGAATTATATTTTAAAAATCACTTTTTTAATGATTCAAGTGAATCAAGACTACCTAATTTTTAACATTTACAACATACAACTTTTTGGTATCAGCTGTGTAAAGATGCTTTCACAGGATTAGGGCACCTGTATGCGGCTGTAGGCTTCCTAAACCCAAAACTCAGGCATTTGCAAGGTGAGCTTCCAGCTTCACAAGATATGGCTCTGGATACTGCAAAACAAAGTCCCGTTCTCCAGAGTCTTACTGATACACTGAATCATGGGCTAGAATTTTGCTTCTCTAAACATAGAGTCTGCCCTTTGGCTATGAGGATGGATGAAATTATTGCCCCTTAAATTATTTCTCAAAACCCTAATCTCAGAAAGTATTCAATCCTGACAGTCACTTTGAAAGACGATACTATTAAAAAACACAAGCCCGTATTTCCAGAAGATGAGACACCATGGGTTGAATTGCCCCCGTTTGCTCTATTTGGGAGCACAACTCATTCAGGCCTGTCTACCGGCTTTACTGTACACTCACATGTCTATGCAAAAATGGTTCAAGAATGAAAGGGGAAACCTGTGCTGGGCACGGTAGCTCACGCCTGTAATCCCAGCACTTTGGGAGGCCAAGGCAGATGGATCACCTGAGGTCAGGAGTTCAAGACTAGCCTGGCCAACATGATGAAACCCCGTCTCTACTAAAAATATAAAAATTAGCCGGGTGTGGTGGTAGGCACCTCTAGTCCCAGCTACTTGGGAGGCTGAGGCAGGAGAATCACTTGAATCTGGGAGGCGAAGGTTGCAGTGAGCCAAGATCATACCACTGTACTCCAGCCTGGGCAACAGAGTGAGACTCTGCCTCAAAAAAAAAAAAATGGAGGAAGCCTGGCTAAGCCCTTGGAAAGTTAGGTTCTGAGATTAAAACAAATTAAATATTCAGGAAGGCCTAGAAAAGTGTGACATTAGTAAAATAGGTAGATTAATGAAAAATCCTTATCAAAACAGAATTAAACAGTATCCCAATGAAATTACTCATTCCTACAGCAATTAAACGCTAGAAGTTTTCAAATAAACAAGCAGTTTTAATAATATCACCTCTCCTCTCCTACTCCCCAATTAAATATCACCTCCCCCAACCTTCCATCTTTACGGTCAGGCTAAAAATAAGATCTTGCAGTTCAATGAAAATCTAACTCATCCCCACCTGGTAAAAGTTAAAACACATTCCTTATTCATGAATCACCTCATGTGACCGTTTGCAAGGCTATAATAATCAATGTGCCCTTAAAGATTAAAGTGTCCTTAAAGAGGCGGGACATGGTGGCTCACACCTGTAATTCCAGCACTTTGGGAGGCCGAGGTGGGTGGAAAACCTGAGGTCAGGAGTTCAAGAACAGCCTGGCCAACATGGCGAAACCCTGCATCTACTAAAAATACAAAAAGTAGCTGGCAGTGGTGGTGGGCACCCATAGTCCCAGCTACTCAGGAGACTGAGGCAGGAGAATCCCTTGAACCCGGGAAGGGGAAGCTGCAGTGAGCCGAGATCGCGCCATTGCACTCCAGCCTGGGCGACAAGAGTGAGACTCTGTCTCAAAAAAAAAAAAAAAAAAAATATATATATATATATACACACATACATATATACATACATACATAAGGCTGGGCACAGTGGCTCACACTGTAATCCCAGCACTTTGGGAGGCTGATGTGGGCGGATCACAAGGTCAAGAGATTGAGACTATCCTAGCCAACATAGTGAAACCCCGTCTCTAGTAAAAACACAAAAATTAGTTGGGCGTGGTGGCTCGTGCCTGTAGTCCCAGCTACTCAGGAGGCTGAGGCAGCAGAATCGCTCAAACCCGGGAGGCAGAGGTTGCAGTGAGCCAAGATCACGCCACTGCACTCCAGCCTGGCGACAGGGCGAGACACTGTCTCAAATAAATAAATAAATAAATAAATAAATAAAGTGTCCTTAAAGATTAAATGTGTCCTTAAAGTTAAAGTTAGATAAATTCAAGTAAACCAAAATCTGGCTGTATAAAAATGTCTACTAGCGAAGCAGCTGCGTTGTCTGGGGTATACACCTGGTATTCCTCTTCTCCCACCAGGAAAATTTAGGACACAGACACATGAGGAGTTTAGGAGCAGAGGTTTAAAAGGCAAGAGAAAGAAGATGGAAAACAGCTCTCTCTCTAGTAAGAGAGAGGGGACTTCCAAGAAGAAAAAGGCAAGCTGGCAGCAGATGCAGATTTTTTGTTTGTTTGTTTGTTTTCTGAGATGGAGTCTCGCTCTGTCGCCCAGGCTGGAGTGCAGTGGCACAATCTCGGCTCACTGCAAGCTCCGCCTCCCAGGTTCATGCCATTCTCCTGCCTCAGCCTCCCGAGGAGCTGGGACTACAGGTGCCCACCACCACGCCCGGCTAATTTTTTGTATTTTTAGTAGAGATGGGGTTTCACTTTGTTAGCTATGATGGTCTCGATCTCCTGACCTCATGATCCGCCCGCCTCAGCCTCCCAAAGTGTTGGGATTCCAGGCGTGAGCCACTGCGCCTGGCCCTTGTTTGTTTTTTTGACGGAGTCTTGCTCTATCACCCAGGCTGGAGTGCAATGGCACGATCTCAGCTCACTGCAACCTCTGCCTCCCGGGTTCAAGCAATTATCTTGTCTCAGCCTCCTGAGTAGCTGGGACTACAGTTGCATGCCACCACGCCCAGCTAATTTTGTATTTTTAGTAGAGACGGGGTTTCTCCATGTTGGTCAGGCTGGTCTCAAACTCCTTACCTCAGGTGATCCGCCTGCCTCAGACTCCCAAAATGCTGGGATTACAGGAGTGAGCCACTGCACCCGGCCCAGATGCACAGATTTTAGTTTGACTTGAGGAGGCAGTGTCTGATTTACTTAATGCTCACAGATTGGTTCAATCAGGCATGACATTTACACAGCCAGGAAAGGCTGGCCACCCCACCCTAATCTTACTATGTAAATGAAATTTCCCTTTGGCTGGCACCATCTTGTCTGCTCCTTACTGTACACGTGGCTGGAAAAGAGAAGGGAAGATGGAGCTGCCATCTTGAACCTGATTGGCTCAACTGTCTGCATCTATGTCTGCAGCTCGATTTTACAGGCTGCTTGTGTTAGAAAGGAAAATAATTTGGGGCTGCTTTTCATTAAAAGGAAAACCTTACTGAGGACTTCCATACCCTCACTATCAGCCTGAGTAATTCCTTCTTAACTCCTGTATCATCAGGTGGCAGCCTTAACCCTTCCGGCTCCCTACCTCTTTCCACAGAGATGCTGTGAGGAAGCAAGGAGAGATGAGCTTTATTGTTAATGAAGATTCAGCAACCAAGAGTTCATACCTGACATTAAGGACTTCCAGGTGTCTGAGCTGATCAGCAATGTGTATCACTTCATCCCATGATGACAACAGGTTTTTTGACAAATCTACCTTTCTGATATCTAAAAGCACATGTTAAGAAACAGTAATTTCAAAAGATTCACAAAAGACATAAAAGGAGTTACTCTTAATTCCAGAGCATGAGCGTTTTAACTTTTCATTTTATACCCTCTAGTCAGCTTCAAATTTTTTCAGGAGTACATAATATTTTTAAGTTATCCAAAACTTCACTGAGAAACGAAAAAGTTCATTGTGAGGCCAGGCGCGGTGGCTCACGCCTGTAATCCCGGCACTTTGGGATGCCAAGGTCGGGGGAATCACTTGAGGTCAGGAGTTCAAGACCAGCCTGGCCCACATGGCAAAACCCCATTCTACTAAAAATACAGAAATTAACCAGGTGTGGTGGCACGCGCTCGTAATTCCAGCTACTCAGGAGGTTAAGGCAAGAGAAACTCTAGAGCCCGGGAGGCGGAGGTTGCAGTGAGTGGAGACTGCGCCACTGCACTCCAGCCTGGGTGACAGAGTGAGACTGTCTCAAAAAACTAAAAATAAATTAAAAGTTCATTGTTATATACTCAAAACTTGAGACAAACATCTACAATCAAATGACAAAGAACCAAATGTCATAACGCTAAACCATCCTAGCACTATCCAAC